>NC_000011.10:38847878-38999393 GCF_000001405.40 Homo sapiens
CATTTTTTAATGTTTGTTGGCTGCATGTATGTTTTCTTTTGAGGAGTGTCTGCTCATGTCCTTTGCCTACTTTACAAATGTGTTGTTTTTTCCTTGTTTTGTTTGAGTTGCTGATAGATTCTGAATATTAGTCCTTTGTTAAATGCACAATTTGCAAATATTTTCTCCCATTCTATAGGTTGTCTGTTTACTCTTGATTGTTTCATTTGCTGTGCACAAGCTCTTTAGTTTGATTAGGTCCTACTTAATTGTTTTTGTTGTTGAATTTGCTTTTGAGGATTCCGTTATAAATTATGTGCCCAGGCTAATGTCTATGAGTATTTCCTAAGTTTTCTTCTAGGATTTTTACACTTAGAAATCTTACATTTAAGAGTTCAATCCATTTTGAGTTAATGTGTGTGTATGCTGAGGTAGGGGTCCAGTTTCACTCTTCTGAATATTGTTATCCAGTTTTCCCAGCACCATTTATTAAATAGGATATCTTTTCTTTATTGTTTATTTTTGTCAACTTTCTCAAAGACCATTCGGTTGTAGGTGTACAGCTTTATTTCTGGGGTCTCTATTCTGTTCCATTGGTTTATGTGTCTACTTTTATATTTCTAGTATAAAATATAAAAGTGCCATGCTGTTTTGGTTACTATAGCCTTTCAGTATAGTTTGGAGTCAGGTAATATGATGCCTCTGGCTTTGTTCTTTTTGCTTAAGATTGCTTTGGCTATTGGGGTTCCATTTTGTTCCATATGAATTTTAGAATTGTTTTTTCTAATTCTGTGAAAAATAGCATTGTTTATTTGACAGGAACAATGTGGAATCTGTAGATTGCTTTAGGAAGTATAGATATTTTATTGATATTGATTCTTCCCATCCATGGGCATGGAATTTTTTTTATTTGTGTCATCTGTGATTTCTTTCAGTAGTGTGTAGTTCTCCTTGTAGACATGTTTCACCTCCTTGGTTATAAGTATTTCTAGGTGTGTGTGTGTGTGTGTGTGTGTGTGTGTGTGCGCACGTAGCTACTGTAAATGGTACTGCATTCTTGATTTGGTTCTCAGACTGAATGCTATTAGTATAAATAAATGCTACTGATTTTTGTACATTGATTTTATATCTTACTGAAGTTATGTACAAGGTCTAGGAGTCTTTTGGCAGAATCTTTAGGGTTTTGTTTTCTTTTCTATTTTATTTAATTAATTTATTTATTTACTTTTTTGAGATGGAGTCTCACTCTGTCACTCATGCTGGAGTGCAGTGGCACAATCTTGGCTCACTGCAACCTCCATCTCCTGGGTTCAAGCAATTCTTTGCCTCAGCTTCCCGAGTAGCTGGGATTACAGGCACACGCCACCACGGCTGGCTAATTTTTTTGTATTTTTAGTAGAGACGGGGTTTCACCATCTTGACCAGGCTGGTCTTGAACTCCTGACCTCATGATCCACCTGCCTCAGCCTCCCAAAGTGTTGGGATTACAGGAGTGAGCCACCGCGCCCAGCCGTCTTTAGGGTTTTCTTAGTTTAGAATCATTATCAGCAAACAGAGGTAATCTGACTTTCTCTTCTATTTGGATGCCCTTTATTTCTTTCTCTTGCCTGATTGCTCTGGTTAGGACCTTTAATACTATATTGAGTAGGAGTGATGAGAAAGGATATCCTTGTTATTTGACAGTTCTCAGGGGGAATGCTTTCAACTTATGCCTGTTTAGGATGATTTGGCTGTGTTTTTCTGGTTTGTTCAGAGATGCTTATTATTTTTAGGTATATTCCTTCAATGCTAAGTTTGTTAAGGGTTTTTATCATGAAGGAATGCTGTTTTTTATGAAATTCTTTTTTTTTGCATTTGTTGAGATGATTATATGGTTTTTACTTTTAATTCTGTTCATGTGGTGAATTACATATATTGATTTGTGTATGTTGAACTATACTTGCATCACAGGAATAAAGTCTACTTGATTATGATGAATTATATTTTTGATGTGGTGCCAGATTCATTTTGCTAGTATTTTGTTGAGGACTTTTGAACCTATGTCATCAGGGATATTTTCCTGTAATTTTATTTCTTTGTTGTGTCTTTGCCAGATTTTGATGTCAGGATGATACCAGTTTCATAGAATGAGTTAGAGAGAAACCTTTCCTCCTTGATTTTTCGGAATAGTTTCAGTAGGATTGGGACAAGCTCTTATTTTTATTTTTATATCTGCTAAAATGTGGCTAAGAATCCATTTGGCTCAGGGGCTTTTTTTTTTTTTTCGGTTGGTAGGTACTTCACAGTTTCAATTTTACTACTCATTATTGTTCTGTTCGGAATTACTGCTTCTTCCTAGTTTAAACTTGGTAGATTGTGTGTTTCTAAAAATTTATCAATTTTCTCTAGCTTTTCTAGGTTTTAGTTTTTTTGTATAGAGAATTTTATAGTAGTCTCTGAGGATCTTTTGTATTCCTGTGGGATTGGTTGTAATGCCACTTTTGTCATTTCTGATAGTGCTTATTTGAATATTATCTTTTTTCTTTATTAATTTGGCTAGTGGTCTATCAAATGTCTTTATCCATTCAAAGAACCAATTCTGTTTTATTGATCCTTTGTATGATATTTTTGAGTCTCAATTTCATTTAGTTTTTCTCAGATTATAGTTATATCTTTTCTTCTGCTAGATTTGGGTTTAGTTTATTCTTGTTAATTCAAGATCTTTCTATCTTCTTAATGCATGGTCGAGATTATTCTGATGTTACCCTTTGTGTGGTATATTTCATCACTGGCACCAATTTTTCACATCTCTCTATCCGTTATCACCCTTAGCGATTCTTTTCAATAAAAGGGACAAGGAATAAATTGTAACTCATTGCAATTTTGTTACGGAGCAATGGTTTACTGACACAAATATGGAAAGTAGTTGCATTTATTAAAAGTCATTCGATATCATTCAATTCTCAAGTTAAAAATAGTATTCTTTTCAGTGGTTTTAGACTCACAAGACACTGTCAAATGTTGTTGGTTGGCAGTGATGTTCTCTGTACACAGGCTTCACATAAAGCGTGTAATAATATTTAAAAGCTTTCTGCATTTTCCTCCATATAAAATCACAGCAATAGATCATGAAAGAGGTAATTTTTCTTTCAAACATTTCTGTTGTGAAAAACACCACATCAAATCATGAATTCTTTTCTCTAATAAATGCAGTGTTCCAAACAAAATAGTCAACTGACAATGAATTACTACACTCCAACATTCTGGAGATGAATTGGAAATAGATCCTCTTTGCTTTGGGGTAATGCTCCCAGATGTTATCTAAACATAACTACAACAAGCAGTTTGGCTTATATTTACAAAAAATGCAACTGCAGAATTTAATTTTTTTAAGGAGAGTTAAAATAAAAAATATAAAATCTATTCAGGAGTAGAAGCATAAGAACCATTACAGAATAAGTGCAACATTAATGATGTTGAGTGTGGAGCAATGATAAATATTATTTTAAAATACCACTCACTATATTGGCAATAGTTTTTAAATAATTATGTACAGAATATGGTTTACCTTGAATTTTTTTAAATTGAAAGCTCAATACATTGCATGCAGGATGTATGAAGTAAATGGTCTTTAACAAATAAAAAGTACCTTATATGTTCTATTACACATTCTGTTAAATTTGGAAATAAATTTACAACCAAATAATCAGTTTAATATTAAGTGTTTCTTTTTGTGGGGAGTGAAATGTGCATTTTAAGGTTTGTAAATGAAATGATATGCATTACTATTCAGCTTTTAAATTAAGAAATTTATGTTTACCAAAAGCCTAAAATATCTAATCACTAGGTTATTGTTTCATAAGCTATCATTCTGCAATATACTAAAACATAATTTTAGAACATTACCAATTAAAAAATGTATATGATAATAAAATTTCATTTATTTCTTCTATTGTTAAATTATTCTTTCATATCTAATGGTTATCCAATTGTTTACATATCAAAACCTTTTTGGATTAAAAATTGGTAAAATAATTTCAAAGCATTATTTTCACATTTTATTTGGTTTTTATGTATGTATTTTTTTAAAGAATTTTCTTTCAGGGCCAGGTGCGGTGGCTTATGCCTGTAATCCCAGCACTTTGGGAGGCTGAGGCCAGCAGATCACCTGAGGTCGGGAGTTCGAGACCAGCCTGACCAACATGGTGAAACTCTGTCTCTACTAAAAATACAAAAATTAGCCGGGCGTGGTGGCACATGGCTGTAGTCCCGGCTACTCTGGAGGGTGAGGCAGGAGAATCACTTGAACCTGGGAGGCGGAGCTTGCAGTGAGCTGAGGTGGCTCCACTGCACTCCAGCCTGGGCAACAGAGTGAGACTCCGTCTCAAAAAAAAAAAAATTAATTCTTCCTAAAAGGGAAATTACACTACTCTTTGAGACATCAAGCCTTACTGTACTCATGGCTTTGTACCATGCCTGATGATCAAAAGTGTTTATATTGCTTGATAAAAAATAATGTCTGTTTCAACTTTACTATCATTTGAACGTTACAATATCTCTAATTAGTTGAGAATGTTTTTCTTTCTTCTGAAATAAAGAGGCAATGCTTCATGTAACTTTTAGAGTCCTTTAGAATGAAAACATGAATAATCACTGTTCATATTTCATATTATCATTTAAAGACTAAGGATGGTAAAGGCAAGAGTAATAGTAGGCAAGTGACCATTATGGTAATACGTAAGAGAAATGGTTGATCTACAATTGAAACATGGGCCTTAAGTTTGTTTTATATATTTAAAAACATATACCAAGTATATATCTGTAAAAATAGCTTCATTAGTTAAATTTCTTGAAAATTTATTTTAATGGGATGAATCTGTGAAGTGAGGAGAGGATAGTAAAAACTATTACATGACGGAGAAAGGAAAAATATTGGATTCTTTCCAACCACCATCTGCTGTCAGTTTCAGCTTCATCTATAAAACATATTTTAACATAAAATAAAGGCAATGCAAAGGTTACTATAACTTTTCTGTTTGCAAGCAGCATTCAGAGACTATTAAGATGGGGGGGTACTCAAAATTTAGTGATCTAAATATTTTCAAGAAAAATAATGGAGTGATTTTACAGAAATCCAGAAGTAAAAACCTCTGTATGCCTCAGTTATTCATTCATAAATTGGGGTGATAAATATAACCAACTTCTACTATTACTCTGAGTCTTAAATAAGTTAATGTAAGTAGAGGGCTTATAAGGACAGGTGTCATAATAAAGTCACTAAGCACTTTATTATCATATGTTGTACTACTAAACTCTCCTTGGAATTAGTCCTTCTCTATAGTGTTGTTCCACTTTGGTGAACACAAATATAAAGTTTACTCTTTAGAGTAAAGCTGAAACCATTGTAATTTTTCTAGTAATTCAGAGTATGCTCTCTGTTTCACTTTTAAACTTGAACTTAATGCTACGTCTCCTAAGTAGAATATATATATATATAATATACCTAAGCAATAAATGCCACCTTCAAATCATGTAAACAATTTTGTAATCTTGCATATATCTATCACAGGACCATACTTACTGTCTACCAAACTCCTTATGTGTTCCTGTATAGCTGTACTTTGTAATGTAAACCATTCCCAAGCAACATCTTGCCTTTCTAAACTCTCTAATTCTAGCACTTAAACTCTTTATCTAATTCTAGATTACAGTTATATACTGTATTATATAATATAGTACCCAGTTGGTGTGGTTTAGAATCGTGTCCCTGACAGAATCTCATGTCGAATTGTAATCCCCAGTGTTGGAGGAGGGGCCTGGTGGGAGATGATTGGACCATGGGGGAAGATTTCCCCCTTTCTGTTCTTGTGATAGTGAATGAGTTCTCACAAGATCTGATTGTTTAAAAATGTGTAGCACCTTCCCCCACTCTGTTTTCCTCCTACTCTAGCCATGTCAGACTTGCCAGCTTCCCTTTCATCTTCCACCATGATTTTAAGTTTCCTGGGGCCTCCCCAGCCATGCCTCCTGTACAGCCTGTGGAACCAGGAGCTAATTAACCCTCTTTTCTTTATAGATTACCCAGTCTTAGGTAGTTATTTATGGCCATGCCAAGAACAGACTAATACACCACTTATAGTTGCAGCCTAAGGAAAAAGAAGAAAAGTAATAAAGTAATGGAATGAAAGTACTACTAGACAACCCATAGCAATTCAAGTTTGAACAAAAAGATATATGAAATACACAATTTATAGGAGACATTTTCATATAAGTTATGTGTCATTAGACTTAAGCAATATTCTGTTCACTCACTCAATATTAACTCTCCATCTTAACAAAATATTGGGATTTTTTTAGAGTTTAAGAAAATTCGAATCTACTTTATATTAAATAAGAATTATCAGTTTGTTTTCAGTTTTTTTCTCAACCTTATTAAATCTTAGGTGACTCACATTAATTCCCCAAGTATGCATTTCTGTATTGACAAAATGAATGTGTTGTACAAATTTAACTCTTTCTAGGTTTCGACTTCTCTGAGTTTATATAATGTAAAAAGTCATTATTTTAGGGGCTCAAGGTAAACAATGAGAACAGAGGGCATTCACCTGTATACATAATCTTGGCACATCTACTCTTAGCTACTTAATTCAGTATCAAGTGAAGAACACTAACATAATTGTTTTCACTTTCTAGGCATAGTTATTTTTACTTTTACTTTTCAGTTTTCCATTTTATGGAATTAGACATTTAATAATTATTTTCATTAATAAATACATTTTTCTAAGGGTAACTATATTGTTAAAAAATCTATATTTACTCAATTATGCTAATATGAGAAGTTTATTTTGGACTCAATCTATCACATAACTCAGTAAGTAGAGATGATATGGTGGACTAAGCCTGGGCTTTGGAATATGACTGATAAGTGCTTGAATCTTGACCCTTCCACTTTCTTAATGTCATCTTAGGTAAGGATTTTACAACTCAAGACCTACTTTTTCCTGAAGCTAAAATGGAAATAATAGCTAGTCATTGGTTTGGGATTATAAGTTATAACATATTTAATTCTGACTCATGATAGCTCTTCAAAATATACTGACCTGTTTCCACTTACAATTATTTCATAGTATAATAGGTTTATTATACATAACCATTCATTTCTTCTATGCCATTCTTAGCAAGCCATTTTCAAATACATAATCAAATAAGGCTATTCATATGTACTACGATACTCCTCCTATTAAATATATTATTTAAGAAATACAATTTTACACAGAGCTAAATTTCTTTTAACAAATATTTGCCTAATAGGACTCATATGCCTTTCTCTGGGGAAGGGCATTATTTTATTCATTATTTACCTTTGTATTCCTGCACAAAAATTTGGTCATACTAGTCAGGGAAGCTATTATTTGATGATATAGAGGATTGCATAATATACCATTGTTGTAATAAATTGAAAGCCAATAGATATTACAAAAGATGTCTGTTATTTTTTCAGAGCAGAGGAAAAAAACCTTTCTCTCAGCTGCTATCTGTACCGTCATGCAGATTTTAGTTTTAAATTGATTGAGCCACAAATGAGCACTTCCCTAAGCTTTCAGAATTGCAGATTATTAGATCTGAGGTTCAGAAATAATTGCTTTCAGAGAGAGAATTTGTCATCTATTCAATTCCATATTTTTATGACAGCCTGTTTACTTTGGTTTAGAATTAAGGTAGCCTTATTACCTCCACTATCACTGTCTGTCACTTAACATGTCTGGCTAGGGATAAGAACTACCAACAATGCAATAAAAAAGAAGAATGCCTAAACCTCAGAGTTTATTGGGCTATTCACTTTTCACAGATACAGAGGACAAGAATAAATTTTGAAAATATGTGCAAAGAATGGAGGACTGAGAATATAACAAGGAAAACAGAGGTTTCATTAGATTTTCAGAGACCACAGTCTACATGAAAAGAACTTCAGAAAAAAAATGATGTTTTTTCTGTGTGGAAAAACGTTCAGAAGAAAATGATAGTTTGCACAGTGATAGCAGGGAGCGGCAATGACCAGGTTGAAACCTTGGGTATAATTTCTCTGCTAATGTTTCATGGGGATGAAGAAACATTGCTCTGGCTACAAGGCTGAGAGCCATCCCTTAAAAATTTTGGATCAGTAAAGAAAAAAAGAAAGAATTCTGGATCACTGATGTCAAAATTCAACTTCATGAGCTCTTCTCCAGCAGTATTGCTCTACTCATTATTCCCTGAATATGCCAAGATTTCCTGCCTCGTATATTCACGCTCAGCAACAAAATTGCATCAACTTACCAGAAGCTGTTAAGAAATCTATCTATGCTACCCCAAACCCTAAAAGGATGAATTGTATGTCAAAAAAAGCAATGCGCTTATTTATACTGGCTAATCAGCTTGTGTGATGAGTTAGAAAGCAGTGTCACCTGAATAAGCACACATACTATTTTTGTGCAGGAAAGCCTACTTAGAAACCAAGGAGTAATATAAACACGTATTACAAGTAAGAGAGCTGGATGTATAAAAAGGTAGAGTTATGGTTGATATTAATCGAGTAAAATGGAATTATCACCACCTGATATACCCATGTCACTAATGATGTACCTTATTAAGTGCCTTAAAATTAGGTGACCACGCATCCCAGGTGTGCCAAGGAAAGTCCTGCTTTATATCTACCATCCCGGGACAACTTTAACTCAAATCTTTCCCACTTTACCCACTTTAGATTGTTAAAATATTCACCCTTATATGGTTTTGACCACAATGTGATAAATTATGACCTTTTTTTTTTTGACAGAGTCTCACTCTGTCACCCAGGCTGAAGTACAGTGGTGCTATCTGGGCTCACTGCAACCTCTGCCTACTGGGTTCAAGCGACTCTCCTGCTTCAGTCTCTTTAGGAGCTTGGGCTACAGGCTTACCACCACACCTGGCTAATTTTTGTATTTTTGGTAGAGACAGGGTTTCACCACGTTGGCCAGGCTGGTCTCAAACTCCTGACCTCAGGTGATCCGCCCGCCTCGGCCTCCGAAAGTGCTGGGATTACAGGTGTGAGACACTGTGCCCGGCCTATTATGACTCTTTATATTTCTTTTTGCTTGCATGAGACAATGCAAGCAAATCTCTAAACATTTTTTCATGCCTGGTTACTATTAAGTGATTAAGTTTCTCTGCATTGGTAGTGTTCTCATTCCTTTATTTTCCATGAAGACACAGACTATGATGGGACTCAGGAAGACATTAAATTTGAATTTACGACATATATATGACATACATTATTATCTGCTTGAGGTTTACCCCTTCTATCCTCTAACTTCTCTAGGTATTTTATACTTGAATAATGCTTGATTAGTTAGATTGTGAACATCCACCTGTTAACCACCTGTTTTTCCAGGCAATATGCTCCTTTTGTGTATATTCTTCTCATTTATATTCTTAAGCCCACTTTCTCAGTGCTAGTTACTGCATCATTTTTATATGTGAAAATATTTTTCTCCCTAAGTAGTTACCTTATATCACCAAGTATCCGGTGGACAGCTCTGATTATATGCCTTGCAGATACCTAAACTCAACGTGTTGAAACCAAATTTTTTATTTTGGGTTTTCTCCAATAATTTTGAAAAAGTAAATAGTTGCACAAGCTGTTAGACTATTTAGTCTTCCCTGAACATACTTTGACAAATAAAACTCTGAGAAACGGGGAAAGTAAGGCTAAAATTAAATCAGATAGACACAATATATTTGGAAAAAACAGTCAGTTAGGGAGGCATGGAAGAAGAGATACTCTTCAGTGAGAGCCAGCATGTGGTGTTAAAGTCGGTAGGGGGGAATTATGAGCTTCAAAGCTCAATAAAAGCAGAATAAAAAAAGAAATCCATCATAGAAATAAAGACAAGACATACTGAAATATGTAATTTAAGAAACATTTTTGAAAATTAAAAGAAGAAAGTTGTAAGTGTGCACCACAATGCACAAAAGAGTAAGAAAGAACAGTCAACAAGATTAGGCACATTAAATTATCAGACATGTAAGATAAAGAAACATCTTTTCTAAAACTGCTCAGAATAATAATATTATTTTATATAAAATGGTTATTTCCCATGCAGATCTTACAACAATGACTATGTATGCACCAATTTAAATAAATCAATATTTATTAGTTAAAAATAAAGTATAGCAATACAATAAAACAGAGAGAAATGTCTTGTCATATAATTTAATTCATCTCCTCAGGTCATAATTGATAAAATAGACCAAAAATTAATAAGGATATATGAGACCATATATCCTAATGATGTCCTATAAATATAAACTGTATCACTTTTTAAGTACTCCTTTAGTATTCATAAAATGTGATGCCATATTCTAAGTACCAAATAAAATTTTAATATATATAAAAACAAAATTAATACCTGGAAATATTTATTAATCAGAGTCTAGTAAAACTGGAGTAGAATTGTTCATAGTAGTCTCTAATGATCTCTTTGTATTTTTGTGGTATCAGTTGTACTTTTTTCTTTTTAATCTCTGATTTTTTTGTTTTGGTTTTCTCTCTCTTTTTCTTAGTCTAGGTGAAGGTTTATTGATTTTGTTTATCTTTTATAAAACCTTTTTTGATCTTTTGTTTTTTTCAGTCTTAATTTTGTTTATTTCTGTTCTGAACTTTATTATTTAGTTTCTGTATTAATTCTGCATTTTTTTCTCACTTTTTTTGTAGTTCCTTTGGGTGCATCATTAGGTTATTTGAATTTTTTTATGGTTTTTATGTAGGTGTTTATTGTAATAAGGCCTCTTAGCACTGCTTTTGCAGTATCCCATAGGTTCTAATGTTTCTATTTGTTTTAAGAGAAACATTTTTAATTTTCTTTTATATTTTTTCATTGACTCCTTGGTTATTCAGAAACATGTTTAATTTTAATGTATTTTTACAGTTTCCAAAGTTCCTGTTGTTGTTGAGTATAGTTTTATTTTGCTACGATCAGGAAAGGTACTTGATATAATTTTGACTCTTAAATTTGTTGAGACTTGTTTTGTGGCCTAACAAATGGTGTATCCTGGACAGTGTTCTCTGTGCAGATGAGAAGAATGCATATTCTGGAGAAGCTGGATACAATGTTCGATAACTGTCTATTAGGACCATTTGGTCCAGAATATAGTTTAACTTCAATGTTTCTTTGTTCATTTTCTGTCTGAATGATCTCTCCATTGACAAAAGTGGGGTGCTGAATTCCTTTAATATATTGTACTGCAGTTTATCTCTCCCTTTAGATCTATTAATATTTGCTTTATGTATTTGGGTGCTACAGTGTTGGGTACATATGTATATATGTTTATGTTTACATACACATATATATTTAGTAGTATTATATCCTTTTGCTGAGTTGACCCTTTTATCATTATGTAATAACCTTTGATATCTCATTTTACAGTTGTTGATATAAAGTCTATTTGGTCTTATATGAGTGTAGCTACTCCTGCTTTTTTTTTTGTTTCCATTTGCATGGCACATATTTTTTCATGCCTTCACTTTTGGCCTATGTGTGTCTTTACAGGTAAAGTGAGTTTCCATAGATGGCATATAGTAGTCACATATTTTTAATCTATTCAGCCAGTCTATGTCTTTTAATTAGAGAATTTAGTCCACTTACATCCAATGTTGCTATTGATAGTTAAGGACATACTACTGCCTTTTGTTATTTGCTTTCTGTTTTGTTTTTTTTTTTAACTCCTCTCTTTCTTCCTTTCTTATAGCTTTTCTTTGTAATTATTTGATTTTCTCTTGGAGTATGTTTTAATTTGTTGCTTTTAATTTGTAATGTCTCTATTATAGGTTTTTACTTTTTACCATGAGGCTTACAAAAAACATCCTATAGTTATAACTAGTTATTTAAAACTGATACCAATTCAACCTTGATCACAAAAAAACTATAAAACAGGTGCACACATTAATTCCTTTCTAGTCCTACATTTTGAATTTCTGACGTCACAACTTACATTTTTTATATTTCCTGTCCCTTAAAAGTTTTTTGCAGTGATAATTTTAATATTTTGCCTTGTATTCTTCTTAAGAAGGATAAAAGTGGCTTATGCACCACCATTACAATATTAGCATAATGATCACATTAGTGGTTTTTTCCTTCAGTTTGAAGAACTCTCTTTAACATTTCTTGTAGTACAGGTCTAGTCATAGTAAATTTCCTCAGCTTTTGTTTGTCTGGAAAAGCCTCAGCTTTTCTTTGTCTAGGAAAGTCTTTATCAATCCTTCATTTCTGGAAAACAGACTTGCTGCAAACAGCATTCTTGGTTGGCAGGTGTGTGTGTGTGTGTGTGTGTGTGTGTGTGTGTGTGTGTGTGTGTGTGTGTGTGTGTTTTCCTTCATTATTCTTAATATATTATCTCACTCTCTCCTGGCCTATAAGGTTTCTGCTGAGAAGTCTGCTGCCAAGAATATTTATTTATTTATTTATTTATTTATTTATTTATTTATTTATTTTGAGACGGAGTCTCACTCTGTCACCCAGGCTGGAGTGCAGTGGCGCAATCTCGACTCACTGCAAGCTCTGCCTCCTGGGTTCACGCCATTCTCCTGCCTCAGCCTCCTGAGTAGCTGGAACTACAGGCGCCCGCCACCACACCTGGCTAATTTTTTTGTATTTTTAGTAAAGACGGGGTTTCACCATGTTAGTCAGGATGGTCTCAATCTCCTGACATCGTGATCCACCCACCTGGCCTCCCAAAGTGCTGGGATTACAGGGGTGAGCCACCTTGCCCGGCCACCAAGAATATTTTAACTCACTCATATCTGATTTGCTTCCTTTCTCTCACTGCTTTTAGGATCATCTCTTTGTCATTGAAATTTGAGAGGTTGATTATAATATGTCTTGAGATATTTTTATTTTGCTTTAATCTGATTGGTAAACTTTGATCTTCTTGCACCTGAATACTTATATATTTCTCCAGGCTTAGAAACCTCTCTATTATTATTTCTTTTAATATGTTTTCTATCCTTTTGTCTTTCTCAGTTTCCTCATTAACTCCATTAGCCCAAATATTAGAACTTTTGATGTCCTGTAGATCATGTAACCTTTATTTCTTTTCGTGTTTTGTTATTTTCTCTCTTCTGTGTATTTTCCAATCATCTGTCTTTGAGCTCATGCTTCTTTCTTCTGTCCAATCAATTCTACTGTTGATGCTCTCTACTGCATTTGTAAATTTCATTCATGGTACTTTTCAGCTCCAAAATTGTTTGCTTTTTTGAAATTATTTCAATCTTTTTGTTAAATTTCTCTGATACATTTCTACACCGATTTCTTGTGTTTTCTTGAAGTTGTTGAGCTTCTTTAAAATAGCTATTTTGAATTCTTTGTCTCAGGGATGACAGATTTTCCTTGCTTTAGCATTGGTCTGTGTCACATTATTTTGTATATTTGTTGAGTTCACATTCCCTGACAGTTCTTGATGCTTGTGATGACATCTGTACATTGATGAATTAGGTACCTAATGTGGTCTCAGTTGGTTTTTATTAATTTATTTTTTATTTCAATAGGTCTTTGGGGAACAGATGGTGTTTGGCTACATGAATAAGTTCTTTAATGGTGATTTCTGAGATTTTGGTGTGCCCATCACCCAAGAAGTGTACACTGCACCCATTGTGTAGTCTTTTATCACTCACCCCTTCCCACCCTTTTTCCCAAGTACCCAGAGTCCATTGTATCATTCTTATGCCTTTGTGTCCTCATAGCTTAGCTCCCAATTATGAATGAGAACATATGATGTTTGGTTTTCCATTGCTAAGTTACTTCACTCAGAATAATAGTCTCCAGTTCCATCCAGGTTGTTGTGAATGCCATTATTTCATTCCTTTTTATGGCTGAATAGTATACCATGGTATATATATAGCATATATTCTTTATCCACTCATTTATTGATGGGCATTTGGGCTAGTTCTATATTTTTGAAATTGCAAATTGTGCTGCTATAAACATGCATGTGCAAATATATTTTTTGTATAATGACTTCTTTTCCTCTCAGTAGATACCCAGCAGTGGGATTGCTGGATCAAATGGTAGATCTATTTGTAGTTCCTTAAGGAATCTCCACACTGTTTTCCATGGGAGTACTAGTTTACATTTCCACCAACAGTGTAAAAGTGTTCCCTTTCACTACATCCAGGCCAATATCTATTTTTTTTTTTATTTTTTGATTATGGTCATACTTGCAGGTCTAAGATGGTTTTGCATTATGATTTTGATTTGCATTTCCCTGATAATTCGTCGTGATGTTGAGTATTTTTCCTTTTGTTTGTTGGCCATTTGTATATCTTCTTTTGAGAATTGTCTATTCGTGTCCTTAGCCCATTTTTCGATGGGATTCTTTGGTGTTTTCTCACTGATTTGTGAGTTCTTTGTAGATTCTGGATATTAGTCCTTTCTCAGATGTATAGATTGTAAAGATTTCCTCCCACTCTGTGGGTTTTCTGTTAACTCTGCCATTTCTTTTGCTGTGCAGAAGCTTTTTAGTTTAATTGTTAACTCTGCTATTTCTTTTGCTGTTCAGAAGCTTTTTAGTTTAACTAAGTCCCACCTATTTATCTTTGTTTTTCTTGCATTTGCTTTTGAGTTCTTGGTCATAAAGTTGTCGTCTAAGCCAACTTCCAGAAGAATTTTCCAATGTTACCTTCTAGAATTTTTATGGTTTCAGGTCTTGTATGTAGTCCTTGATCCATCTTGAGTTGATTTTGTATAAGGTGAGGGACGAGGATCCAATTTCATTTTCTACGTGTGGCTTGCCAATTATCCTAGCACCATTTGTTCAACAGGGTGTCCTTTCCCAACTTTGTGTTTCTGTCTTCTTTGTCGAAGATCAGTGGGCTGTAAATATTTGGCTTTATATCTGGGTTCTCTATTCTGTTCCATTGGTATACATGCTTATTTTTATGCCAGTACCATGATATTTTGGTGACTTTGGCCTTATAGCATAGTTTGAAGTCAGTTAATGTAATGCCTCCAGATTTCTTTATTTTGCTTTGCTATGTGGGCCCAATTTTGGTTCCATATGAACTTTGGAATTGTTTTTTCTGATTCTGTAAAGAATGACAGTGGTATTTTGATGAGAATTGTCCTGAATTTGTAGATTGTTTTTGGCAGTATGATCATTTTCACAATATTGATTCTACCCATCCACAAGTATGGGATGTGTTTCCATTTGTTTGTGTCATCTATGATTTCTTTCAGCAGTGTTTCATAGTTTTCCTTGTAGAAGTCTTTCACCTTCTTGGTTAGGTATATTTCTAAGTATTCTTTTTTTGCAGCTATTGTAAAAGGGGTTGAGTTGTTGATTTGATTCTCAGCTTGGTCACTGTTTGTATATAGCAGAGCTATTAATTTGCATACATTAATTTTATATCCAGAAACTTTGCTGAATTTATTTGCCAGTTCTAGGAGCTTTATGGAGGAGTGTTTAGGGTTTTCTAGGTATACAATCATATCATCAACAAACAGCAACAGTTTAACTTCCTCTTTACTGATTTGAATGCTCTTTATTTCTTTCTCTTTTCTGATTGCTCTGGCTAGGACTTCCAGTACTATGTTGAGTAGAAGTAGTGAAAGTGGGCATCCTTGCCTTGTTCCAATTATCCGGGAGAATGCTTTCAACTTTTCCCCATTCAGTATAATGTTGGATGTGGGTTTGTCATAGATGGATTTTATTACCTTAAGGTATGTCCTTTATATGCCAATTTTTCTGCAGGTTTTAATCATAAAGGGATGCTGGATTTTGCCAAATGCTTTTTCTGCAACTATTGAGATACTCATGTGATTTTTGTCTTTAATTCTGCTTATGTGGTGTATCACGTTTATTGACTTGTGGATATTAAACCATCCCTGCATTCCTGGTATGAAACCCATTTGATCATGGTGGATTACTTTTGGATATGCTGTTGGGTTCTGTTAGCTAGTATTTTGTTGAGGATTTTTTGATCTATGTTCATCAGGGATATTGGTCTGTAGTTTACTTTTTTTTGTTATGTCCTTTCCTGGTTTGGTATTTGGGTGATACTGCCTTCATACAATGATTTAAGAAGGATTCCCTCTTTTTCTATCTTGTGAAATAATGTCAACAGGATTGGTACCCATTCTTCTTTGAATGTTTGACACAATTCAGCTATAAATTTGTCTGGTTCTGGACTTTCTTTTTATGTTGGCATTTTTTTAAAATTACCATTTCAATCTCACTGCTTTTTATTTGTCTGTTCAGAGTTTCTATATCTTCCTGGTTTAATCTAGGAAGGTTGTTTATTTCCAGGAATTTATCCATATCCTCTAGGTTTTCTGGTTTATGCATGTAAAGGTGCTTACAGGAGCCTTGAATAATCTTTTCTAATTCTGTGGTATCAGTAGTATTATCTCCTGTTTCATTTCTAATTGAGCTTATTTGCTTCTTCTCTCTTCTTGTCTTGGTTAATCTCATGAATGGTCTCTCAATTTATCTTTTCAAAGAACCAGATTTATGTTTCATTTATATTTTGTATTGTTTTGTTGTTGTTGTTTCAATTTCATTTAGTTCTGCTCTGATCTTTATTATTTCTTTTCTTTTACTGGGTTTGGGTTTGGATTGCTCCTGTTTCTACAGTTTCATGAGGTGTGAAACACAATAGATTGTCTATTGTCTCTTTCAGTTTTTTTTTTTATGTAGGCATTTAATGCTATAAACTTTCCTCTTAGTACTACTTTTTCTGTATCCCAGAAGTTTTGATAGGCAGTGTCACTATTGTCATTAAGTTCAAAGAATTTTCAAATTTCCATCTTGATTTCATTCTTGACCTAACAATCATTCAGGAGCAGGTTATTTAATTTCCATGTATTTGCATCATTTTGAGCATCCCTTTTGGAGTTGATTTCCAATTTTATTCCACTGTGGTCTGAGAGAGTACTTGATATAGGTTTGATTTTCTTAAATTTACTGAGACTTGTTTTGTGGCCTATCATATGGTCTATCTTGGAGAATGTTCAATGTGCTGATGAATAGAAAGTATATTCTGTAGTTGTTGGGTAGAATGTTATGTAAATATCTAGTAAGTATATTTGTTGTAGGGTATAGTTTAAGTCCATTGTTTCTTTGTTGACTTTCTGTTTTGATGACCTGTCTAGTGCTGTCAGTGGAGTATTGAAGTCCCCCACTATTATTCTGTTGCCATCTATACCTTTTTTTAGGTCTAGTAGCAATTGTTTTATAAATTTGGGAGTTCTGGTGTTAGGTGCATATATATTTAGGATTGTGATATTTTCCTGTTGGACTAGTCCTTTCATCATTATATAATGTCCCTGTTCTTTTTAACTGCTGTTGCTTTAAAGTTTGTTTTGTCTGATATAAGAATAGCTACTCCTGCTTCTTTTTGGTGTCCATTTGCATGGAATACCTTTTTCCATCCCTTTACCTGAAGTTTATATGGGTCCTTATAAGTAAGGTGAGTCTCCTGAAGATGGCAGAAACTTGGTTGGTAAACTCTTATCCCATCTGCCATTCTATATATTTTAAGCAGAGAATTTAGGCCATTTACATTCTGCATTAGTATTGAGAAGTGAGATACTATTCTATTCATCATGCTATTTGTTGCCTGAATATCTTGTTTTGTTTTGTTTGTTTCATTGTGTTATTCTTATATAGGTCCTGTGAAACTTATGGTTTAAGGAGGTCCTATCTTGGTGTATTTTGAGGATTTGCTTCAAGATTTAGAGCTCCTTTTAGCAGTTCTTGTAGTGCTGGCTTGGCAGTGGTTCATTGTCTCAGCATTTGTTTGTCTGGAAGAAAAATTGTATCTTTCTTTCATTTGTGAATCTTAGTTTAGCTGGATACAAAATTCTTGACTGATAATTGTTTTGTTTAAAGAGGCTAAAAATAGGACCCAAGTCCCTTCCAGCTTGTAGGATTTCTGCTTTTTCTGTGATAGGTTTTAGGTTTTTCCTTTGTACATTACCTGATGCTTTTGCCTCATGGCTCTTAGGATTCTTTCCTTTGTCTTGAATTTTGATAACTTGATGACTGTATGACTAGGTGATAACCTTTTTGCAATAATTTCCCAGGTATTTTTTAAGCCTTCTGTATTTGGATGATTAGATCTCTAGTAAGGCTGGGGAAGTTTTCTTCAATTATTCTCTCAAATATGTTTTCCAAACATTTTGATGTATCCAAACACCAATTATTCCTAGGTGTGGATGTTTAATATAGTCCCAAACTTCTTGGAGGCTTTATTTATTTATTTATTTATTTATTTATTTATTTATTTATTTTATTTTGTCTTTTATGGATTGGATCGATTCAAAAGATTTGTCTTTGAGCTCTGAAGTTCTTTCTTCTGCTTGTTTGATTCTTTTGATTCTATTTCTGATACTTTCCAGTGCATTTTGGATTTTTTTTTTTTCGAGATGGAGTTTTGCTCTTGTTGCCCAGGCTGGAGTGCAGGGGCATGATCTCAGCTCACTGCAACCTCCCCCTTCCGGTTTCAAGCAATTCTCTTGCCTCAGCCTCCAGAGTAGCTGGGATTACAGGTGCCCACCACCACACCCAGCTAATTTTTGTATTTGTAGTAGAGATGGGATTTCACCATGTTGGCCAGGCTGGTCTCGAACTCCTGAACTTGGCCTCCCAAAGTGCTGGGATTACAGGTGTGAGCCACTGCGCCCAGCCTGCATTTTGCGTTTCTATAAGTGTCTCCTTGATTTCCAGAAGTTGCGATTGTTTTTTATGCTGTCTATTTCACTGAAGACCTTTCCTCTCATAACCTGTATCATATTTTTGATTTCTTTAAGTTGGACTTCACCTTTCTCTGGTGCCTTCCTGATTAGCTTAATAACCTTCTGAATTCTTGCTCTGGAAATTCGAAGAATTCATCTTGGTTTGGATCCATTTGCTGGTGAGCTGTTGTGATTTTTTGAAGGTGTTAAAGAAGCTTGTTTTATTACCAGAATTCTTTATCTGATTCCATCACATTTGGGTGGATTATGTCAGAGAGAAGATCTGGGACTCAAGGGATGCTGCTCAGATTATCTTTTGTCCCACAGAGTGCTCCCTTGATGTGGTGCCCTCCCCCTTCCCCTAGGTATGGGGCTTCCTGAAAGCTGAACTGCAATGATTGTTTTTGCTCTTTTGGGTCCAGCCATCCATAGGAGCTACCAGGCTCTGGGCTGGTACTGGGGAGTGTCTGCAAAGTGTTCTGTGATGTGATCCATCTTCATGTCTTTCAGCCATGGATACCAGCACCTACTCCAGTGGAGGCAGCAGGGGAGTGAAGTGGACTCTATGAGGGTCGTGGTTTGTATTTTTGTTTAGTGCACTTGTTTTGTGTTGGTTGGCCTCCAGCCAGGAAGTGGCACTTTCAAGAGCACATCAGCTGTGATTTCATAGGAAGGATGCAAACTTGCCCTATGATTGCCTGGTTAAGTATTGAGAGGCCTCAGGTGGTGGGTAGGGCCACAGAGCCTCCAAGAGATTCTGATCTTTGTCTTTGGCAACCAGGGTGGGTAGAGAAAGACCACCAGGTGGGGGCAGGGATAGGAGTGCCTGAGCTCAGACTTCCCTTGGGTGGGGATCCCTGCAGCTGCTCTAGGGGATGGAGTGTGGTTTCTAGGCCAATGGAGTTATGTTCCCAGGATGATTATGGCTGCCTCTGCTGAGTCATAAGGTCACCAGGGAAGTGTGGGAAAGCCCTCAGCCTCATCCCACTCCCACACAGCCTGCAGTCTTTAAGGCCAATCTCATTCCCGTTGTTACCCTGGAACAGCACCAAGTCTATTTCCAGGTAGCCGGTGGCCAGGGCTGAGAAATTGCCCCAGACCACCAGTCTCTCCACTGAGAAAGTAAGCAGACACAGTTTTTCAGCATTTCGGGCAGCCTGCAGTGGAGATCCAGTTCCTTCAAAGGGTCTGTGGATTCTTTCAGCTTTCCTGGTATGTTCCTGCAGCAGTTTTGGGAGCAAAAGTTCACAATGTTACTCTCCACATCCTGCTCTGTCTGAGTGGGAGCTGCAAGCTAGTCTTGCCTCCTATCTGTTATCTTAATCTTACCTTTCAGTCTGGGTTTTTTTTTTTTTGTACCTGTTCTTCAGAAGGTTTACCAGGAATTCTAAGTATACTAACTGTTTTATTTCCTGATCCTCTAACCACTGTAGCCATCTCTGCACTAAAGGATGCTCTAAGCCAAGATGTACTGTATCATGAAGACTTACTTGATGATTGACACGGATTTTTGGCTGAGATGGACTTGGAGAAAACCCAAGAATGGTACTGTGGCTGTGTGGAAATGCTCTGCTGTGGGAAGGAGCCCCAGCAGGTCCCTGAAAAATTAACGTAGTTCCCTAACTACAAGAGGGGATAGAGCTTAGATTGGGCCCCTTGGGATCTACTGTCAAATGGAGGCTGGCATCTTTGTAAATCGATGTAAGTCATTATAGTACACACACTTAATATGCATTCAAAGAAATGTTTATTAAAAATAAATATTAATAAACTGCAGACATGTTTATGCTCCCCACATATTATATTCATATCATGGTTTCTTTATTTTCTATAGAAAAACATTTTATATTCTAAAAATGCGTACATACAGAGCCCGCCCCATTTATATTCCTTGTATCATTCTTTTTTTTTCCTCTCCTCTTTATAAACAAAACTTTGCTGTAATTCCTTGACTATGTAATGTTTTAGACATAATATTCCCTATTCCTGGAATATACTGCTCAACTGTTCTCCATCTGGCAAAGGTATGATTATACCTCAAAGACCAGTGAACACATTACTCCATACATCACCAATACCAAGCAAAAATAAAACAAAACCAAAAACAGCAACAAACAAACAGTTTCAGGGCATAATTACATCATAGCCTTATTTTTACAGCTACATAATTTGCACACAGTTATGCAAAAGTATATTTGACAATAAATTAAGTTTTTTGAGAGGGGATCTTTCTCTGTCACCTAGGCTGGAATGCAGAAGTGCAACCATAGCTCACTGCACCCTTGAACTTTGGGGCTCAAGCAAGCTTCCTGCCTCATGCTCCTGAGTAGCTGGGACTACAGGAACATGCCACCACACCTAGTTAACATTAAAAAATTGTGTTTTGTTTTGTTTTTTTACATCTTGCTATGTTGCCCATGCTGGTCTCAATTCCTTCCCTGAAATTATCCTCCTGCTTCAGGTTCCTGAGTAGCTGAGATTACAGGAATATGTCCTCTCCCCTGGGTTGAGTTAATTTCTTACATGGATGACTTGTCCCCTTCAGTGATTGGTGAGACACATTATATATAACTAAAAGCATAAACATTTTGTGGTTAAGGCAGGCTTGTTTGAAATATGTATCAGCCAATGGCAGGTTAAATACCTTAGATAATTTAATCAACATTTTTGCATCTTCTTTCCACATCTTTAAAATAATAATATTATATTCACGAAGTTAATGTAAAGATTAAACAGAGATACATGCAAAATGCAGAGTTCAATGCTTGAGTTTTCAATAAATGCTAGTTGTCAGATGATTCCCTTTTCAAGAGTAAGAGTTTTTTTTTTATTAATTTTCATGTCCTTGACACAGCCCTTGGCACATAGCGGGTACACAATAAATGCTGAATAATAAATGGTATGATATTATTCTGTCTCAATGTCCTCCTATTACTAGATGCTGGACAGCGAAGACACCTGGATGTTTGCTATTTGAACTCCTTTAACCCATTTGATTTTATGTTATGCTGAGTTGAGTTTCATGACATCTCATACTGCGAATGATGCAAGGTTTATGCCAAGATATACAATGTCAAAACACTGTTGCTCTTTTCAATTCCAATATTACACTAGCTTTTCTGACCTGAATTTAAAACAAGTCTCAGAAGAGAAAATATCCAAAAAGCTAAGATATTCTCAATCCTTCTGCAAATAGGTTTTGTATTTTTCACTACCTATGATGAAGCAAAGTGCAAATCTTCAGAAAATTACTTACACTTTTTCAACACCCTGGGAAAACATTTGTGTGGTACTTACATCATAGAATGGAAAGGAAGTTACATAAACCGGTCATTCCATTTCACCAGTGTGTGTATGCCTTGGAAAGCAGACTTGGTACCACAAGAGTTTTGTAAATTAAAATGATAAATAAGAAGCAAATGCAAAAAATAGAATAAACCCAACAAGTTGTTATCCTGAGCATAAAGTATACCAACATTTCATTTACTTACCTCCGTTTTGAACCCTCGCTTTCTTCCTATCTTGGAAATGTTATTGTTGGACACCTGTTTATTCTTCTTTTCATTCAAGTTGTTCTAACACAGGGAATTTTCTTGGGTTTAAGAGAAAATACAATGTAGCAATTCAGTTGCCTAAAGGCAATGGTAAAACAGAAACATTGTTTTACCAGTTGTTTTTAAGTAATATTTCAAATTCTGAGATATAATATATGTGTGTGTGTTCTCACTATATGTCCTAAAAGATATTTCTCTTTCTATATTTTCTAGCTCTTTTATGTTTAACTTTTTATATTTATATATTCAATAGGAATTTGTTTTGTCATAATAAAATATAATAAAAATAATAATAGAATATTTGTTAGCTAGTATTCTCAGTGGTCAAGGCTGGTTTTATGTTCACATACTATTATATTTATCTTATTTTTATATCATTTATGTTAAGTAACCTTGATATCAAAATATTCTTGTGTATTTTTATTGTGTACAAAAATCATTAAATAATCAGTCTTGGACCTTTCTGAAATGGGAGAGGAAATCCAAGTTATAAAAACAAAAACAAAATAAATCTAATGTTAATTGCTTTAATATTAATAAAATGTAATGCATGCTGTGCACATACTGGCAGACAGAGCTCTTTTAAACTCAGTGAACATGTAATCTTGGGTCCTTTCTGAAGCAAATACTATTACTATCCTGATTTATAGGTTTAAAAATAGTAATTATATTGACGCAAAAATTTACACAGGCAGACACAGAAAATGTAAGATCCAACACCAGGCGGGCTGACACTAGTGGCTATGCTATCAATTACTACACTATATTTTCCCATAAATAAAAAAATAAGAGAGAGGAAGAAAGAGGAGGAGGATGAAGTGGAAGGGAAGAGGGACAGGAGAAGGAAATGGCTGGGGTAGAGAAAAAAGAAAAGAAAAATAAACTCAATGAATTTATAAATCAAAAACATATCTTCCTTTTTTTTTCTTCCTTGCAAAGACCTAAAAAGACAAACACTAGAAGTAGTTAGCATTAAAAATGAAAGCATGTTTTCAGACAAGTTTGGTCAAAAGCAAAGAGAAGCAATTTCCAAAACAGACAAGAATGTAAGTTATTAGTGGTCTGATTTACAAAATGTTGCTAAAGCATGTATAACGATTAAGGTGATATTAGATTAAATTCTTCCCCTAAATATCACAATAGATATTTCAATATAGTGAACTTTTGATCAAGATGAATATTTTAGTGCATCAGCATCAAATGAAAAGAGATTTTTAAAGTTGCTAATTGTACAATATCACAGAAGTATTTCTCAAACATGTTTCTACTTTAAAACAATAATATTCACAACTACAAGTTATGAGCTGTTTCATAGAAAAGTCAGTAATTAATGTAAAATATTCTGAGGAGGCAACAGGAACAGGACAATATAGAAATATCCAATAATATAGAAATCCAATAATATATTAAATAATATATAAATATATCCAAGAATACATATTATATATTATTGTACAAATATCCAATAATATATAACATTTGCTTTGCTTAATGACAGAGATATGTTCTGTGAAATGAGCTAGACGATTTCATTGTGAGTACACAGTAGTACTTACAAAAACCTAGATGGTATAGTCTACAATACAAATCTAGGCTATATGGTGTATGTAGTCCAATGCTCCTAAAAACTTGTACAACATATTACTGTACTGAATAATGTAGGCAGTTGTAACTGAATGGTTATGATATATTTAGGCATTAAGAATTTTTCAGCTCCATTGTAATGTTACGAGACCACTGTTGTGTAAGAAGACCAAAATGTGATAATGTGAGACATGACTGTAAATTAATCATTTTATGAATCCATCAAAATAATAATTGTGTGAAAATATTATTGGTATGTAAAAATGCTCACAAAAGGGAGGAAGTATGTTATAAATTGGTACATATAGAAAAATTCCAATTTAGTAAAATTAAATAAATGTATACATAGAAACTTCATATTTGAAAATGTATAGAAATCATAGACATGCTGATAATATTTGTTTAGTTTCTATTGGAATTGGTTATTTTACTTTTGTTCCGGAAAGAATAGTTACCATTTTGAAATAAAACTTTAAAAAAGTCTATGTCATGTTAGGCCTAAAAGTGGAAGATAATATAAAAACCGGGAAAATAAAATGTAGCAATTCATGTCAGGCAGGGCTGGCGTTAAAAATGCTTGTCACTAATTGGCAGTTAGGCCAACATTTATTTTACTATCTGAACCTCAATTATTTTAAATACAAAATGGACCTAAATTTTCAAATGGCACCTACCAAATCTACCTGTTCTTTCACTTTCTCCCTTTTGTTAACGTGGCAAATTAATTATTTCTGTGGTTGTTGTTAAAAAGCAATGAGTCCTTAGAAACACTGCCAGATATTCAACAGTCACAATTAGCATGGTGTATAACATGTTGTATCGCTTGTTTGAGAGAAAGTGATACAGGTACTGTGTTTCATAAATTCCAAAAGAGATAGCTTTTAAGGTTGCCTATGTTTTTTAAAATATAAATTTAAGGAGTACAAGTACAGTTTTGTTATGGATATATTACGTAGTGATGAAGCCTGGGCTTTTAGTGTAACCATCACCCAAACAATGTACCTATTAAGTCATTTGTCATACCTCACCTCCCTCCCACCCTACCCTCTTTCTGAGTCTCCAGGATCTATTACTACACACTCTATGTCCATGGGCACACATTATGTAGCTTCTACTTATAAGTGAGAGCATGAGGTATTAACTTTATTTCTGAGTGTTTTTGTTAAAGATAACTGTATCCAGTTCTATCCATGTTGCTACAGATCATAACATTTTATTCTTTTTTTTAAATGGCTGAATACTATTACGTTTTGTGTGTGTGTGTATATAGTGTATATATATATATATAAAATGTATATATATATTCTGTATGCATACATATATAGCTCTTTTGTAAAAGAGCTGTACATATGTATAAATATAAAAGAGCAGTATATATGTATATACAGCTTTTACTAAAATAGCTGTGTATGTGTATATGTATCTATATATACATATACACATATATACATATATACATATATGGCTTCTTTGGTTTTTGTATATTACCTTTTACAATGCATTGATTTATGTTTGCTTGTTTACCTGTTGAAGTTTTCAGCTCTTTTTTTAAGTAAAAGAGCTATATACATATATAGCTATATATATTTATATGTAAAAGAGCTATATATGTATATATGTGTATATGTAGCTCTTTTATAGTATGTCTATGTATACATCTGTATACATGTATACGTATGTATACATGTGTACATCTGTATATATGTATATGTATGTATATGTATGTATATATGTATATATATGTATATGTATGTATATATATGTATATATATGTATACGTATGTATATGTATGTATACATATATACATACGGATGTCTATGTGTATATATATATAGAATGTCTATGTATATGTCTATGTATATAGATGCATACATACATCTATACATAGATACATAGATACAGGTATACATATGTATACATCTATACACAGACATACTATAAAAGACCTATCTATACATACATATGTATACATACATACATATATATGTATGCACGTATGTGTGTGTGTGTATATATATAGCTCTTTTATTAAAAATGAGCTGAAAACTTCAATAGGTAAACAGGCAAACATAAATCAGTGCATTATAAAAGAAAATATATGAAAAACAAGAAAATGAAAGCACTTCCAGCATCACCAATAATCAAGAAAATGTCAATCAAATCCCTAGGATAGTTTTTTTTTAATAAGATAGTCAAAGCTATTCTTTTTTACACAGTCTTATTCGCTTTTAGAAATAATATGGATTGGGACATGGGTGCTGTTATATCCTATTGATGAAAATATAAATGGTTAAAAACTTTGGGATAATAATATAACAAAATATCTGTAACTTGAGAAATGTATGGATATGTGAAGTGTATATGAAATGTATATAGAAATGTGATATATATATTACATTTTCTTTATTCAATCATTCATTGATGTATACTTAGAGTGATCCCATATCGTCGCTATTGTGAATAATGCTGTGATAAACATATGAGTGAAGATCTCTTTTTACATAATGTATTTTCCTTTGGGTAGATACAGATCATATGCTTTTCCATTTGTATATCTTTTAAAAATGTCTATTTGTGCTCTTTGCCCACTTTTAAAATTCTCTTACATTTCCCAGCATCATTTATTTTCAAAATAACCTCACTTTGTAAAACATGTCATTGTATAATAGACTCTCACTTTGAAATCTATGCAATTTCTGAAATTATATATATGAGAATATATATGTGTGTGTGTATACTTAAATGTACATATGTGTGTTATTTTCATATATACACATACACACATTTATTTATTTATTTCAGTTTTAACAGACTTGGCTTATATCATGTGTATCTCCGAATACATCAGAATATCTCAACTAAAATGTTCACACAAAACTTTATGAATGATTGCTTAGACAACAGATTTCTTTCCAAGATTTTTTTGACAAGAGAAATGCATTTAAATTAAGACATTTAAATTTCAATGATTATAGCCAACCATATATGGTTGTGTATACATAAAATGTGTGTATTCATTGTTACAGAAGAAAGCTTAGTCCAAAAATGTTTAAACTCTCTCTATAAATTTGATTCAATTACAGTATAATAATATTCACGTGTAGCCTCTTTAAGTAAAAAATATTGAAAATAGAACCTAATTTTCATCCAGCATTCAATTCTTCTGGAATTTTAATGTTTGACTTTTATTTCATCAATGAATTATTGATTTCCTGATATTGACTCGCTAAGTTCTTGGGCTTTCTGTAATTCTATTGAAGGTAATGTTTTATAGTCCACACTAGATATTGCTTACCCAAATATAGTCATGCCATGCGTAACAATGTTTTGGTCAGTCATGGACTGCATATACATCAGTGGTCAAATAAGATTATAATACCATATTTTTACTGTACCTTTTCTGTATTTAGATATATTTAGATACACTAATACAATTGTGTTATAATTGTATACAATAGTAAGTACAGTAATATGCTGCACAGATTTGTAGCCTAAGAGTAATAGGCTATACCGTATAACCTGCATTTTTAGTAAGCTCTACCATCTAAGTTGGTTTGCACAACCAATGACATTTGCATAACCATAAAATTGCCTAATGATGCATTTCCCAGAATATATCTCAATTGTTAAGAAACGTGTGACTGTATTTATATTGCTCTACAGGAAAACTGAGTCATTCAATTTTCAATCTCTGTTTATATAGAGAGAGACTGATAGATATAGAGACAAAGATAGATAATAAGGGGCTAAAAAAATTGAAAATAATATGCTTTCTTAAAGGATTTAATTTGTATGGTTTTATAATAATTCTTACAAGAGTATGCCCACTCACACTTGCAGGCTGGATTACTCAGCCTATGCATATGGGTTTTAAACTCTAGTTAGCTCTATCTGTAAGGTACCAGGAAAGGAATCTATCTACACGTATGTCACCTCCATTTCCTGGAAAATACTTGCTTCCTATTATATAGCTCCAGAAGAAAGAAGAGACCATTAATGTGTTTCTTTTTCTCTGAGATGATCATATGCCCACTGCCATGATTTTCTCCTCTGGCAATTTTGAAATTACTGAATGAAAACTAGTAAATATATATATATAAAATTTAAAAAATAAACTAGCTTCAATAAATTCTGAAAATTTCTCTTTAAAGATGACACACCTTAATGACTCTTAGCTTTTTTATATAACTCAACTTCTCCAGTACTTAGGAAAATCAACAATCTGATCTTAATTTCTGATCTACCACCCTTCTCACTGTGAAGCGTGAATTCGGCATGCTTAATTCTGAATCTCCTAGGGTGTGATATTGGCTTCTGTTCTTTACCTGTCTCTCCTGGATTTTTCAAGTCACAGAGTCTTACAGTTTTCTTTCTTCTCAATTTTCATCTCTCACTGATCCCAGACTCACATAATTAATTCCGTGACTTCTGATATGGCTTCTGTCCTCTATCACAAGTTGTTTCTGTAACAAATAGTATACGGCTGCTAAGCTGATGTTAAACATGCTTCTCATTCTTGATCCTTTTTAGCTGTTTAGAGAAGAGTTTAAATACTCTCTGATTCGGTGAAGAATATTGACTAGTTAGTCTCTGCTACCTTAGATGTGTATCTAGAATGAATCAATCTAAATACTTAGGTTCTGACAGTCTATAGATTCTGATAGTCATAGAGTTTGTGCAGAATTATGGTAAATCATATATTTTCTAAGTTTCTCATTTGTGACATTGTCACACTCTCTGTTTTGTACGAGCATGAATACTTTCCCTGTATATAGTTTATGGTCTTTCATTGCAGGATACTTATACCTCATACAGTGAAATTCCTCCAATTATTTTAACACTTAAATAAACACATGTACACATACATATGAACACACATGTCTGTAATGGAGCAAGCTCGCCTCTCCTATTCGCCAGTCTTATAAAAAATAGATACGCATGAAGGAAGGAAATAAGTTAATAATTCTAAATCATAGTAGACTAAAAATGGGCAAGTCTTTAGCTATAAACAGAATTAGCTTTCTGCTGTTCTGCCATTTGCAAGTCTGGTAAGGCAAATTACTTAACCTCTATAAATATCAGTATTTCAATATCTAACAGGAAAAGAGTGATCTCTAACTAAAAAGGATTGTTATTAAGATTAAATAACAGTGTATAAGTCACCTTGCAAATCTATTTCAAACTCCACTTGATGCTTCACTCAGAACCTCAGTTTCCTCATCTTTAAAATAGTCATAATTTGCACCACATAGATATGTCAAAGAGGAAAAATAAAATAATAGTCCCTGGAAATAGTCCCTGGAAAATTGCAGGTGCTTAATAAAACTTAGCTTACTCTTCTCATACAACAGAAACTTTAACTCAGTTTATATCCAGTAACAGATGGGAAAGTAGACTATAATATGATTGTACAGTTTCTGTCAGTATTGAATGTAATATTTTTATATTACAAAAGACTAAATAGAGCTTTTGATTGAAACTTCCTGGTAAAGATGTTATTTTACATTTCTGTAAAGTAGACAACTAGTAGAATTAAATTAAGCCTGAGTTGCCAACAAAATATCCACATGTAGAATAGCACACAAATGAGTAATTCTCTCCATATGTCTTTTTAAAGTATATTCACAAAATATTTCCTAAGCATATTTACGAGAAAAAATAATATCTGGAGAGAGTAACAGTTACAAAATGTCAATTCTGGGTTGTCAAGTTATTCCATAATAAATTGTAGAATGTCCCTAATTTTATGACTTTGTATTTCTTCTTGAATGATTCTCTTAAATCTCGGAAATGGGAAATTTCATTAGGTTTAAAGTGATAGAAAACGTTTCTTTCAGTACCATCTTGCCCCCACAAAAAATCAGTCTGTAAACTTAGAATCAGAATGTTAATGTTAGGAGAAACATTTTAGTTACTCTCATCAACCCTTTAGAGTTCATAAATCTGAAATTCAGATAGATTTAATATCTCACCCAAAATCATGCAAGTAGAAGATTTTTCATAGTTTTTTAATCATTTATTTTCTCAACTAATAATAACTGGAAATTAAAAAATTACAAACACATAAAAAGATATGACAAACACAAAATGCTTTCAATTACTCTAAGACTAATAGAAACTCTTATAAAGAGGGCTGCCTTAATCAAGTGAAAATTTTACAGAATGTATGTGGACACGAAGCAAGAAATTGCAATTATTTTTGCAAACATTTTTAGCTGTTTAAAATCAATCTAGAACTAAACAGGATCTTGGTCAAATAGTGACAATAACATGATGCATTGTGAGGCAATAGAGAAAATGCACACACACACACACACTCCACTATGCATTGGAATATTCTCTTGAATGTGGAGGGAATAAATAGTGCACTTGAAAATATTTGTGTAAATCCTATACAGATTTTAATTTGTAATTATGCCATTCATGAATAAGAGCTATAGTGTTTACAATACTGTATTGGCTATGTGTGTAAAGTGTGTGTGTCTCCTCTTGACTTTAGAAAGATTTGAAGACTATATAAGGGGTCTTCAAAAAATTAATGAAAAAGGTTATGAAAATATTACGAAAAAAACTGCATGGATTTCAAAACCTTTTTGAACCAAAACAAACTCATACTAAGTTATATCATGTCTGAAAAATATCTAGTTTGTGGTTCTAAGAAGGTTAAGACATCAGTTTGAAAACAGCCCCTATCAGAGTAACATACATTCTGCTAAAATTGAAGCAGGAACAAACATCAAATTTATGGTGAAGCTTGGGTGAAAGAATGGTGAAATTACTGATGCTTTGAAATGTTCTATTCAAAAAGAAATGATAAATGCTTCATGTGATGGATACCCAAAATTAAAAATACCTAATTAGGATTAATAAAATAGTGACTTCGTGTGTAAAAACAGGAGAGAAAGGTTTATGGGACAATGCCCCCTTCCACCCCCTGCCACCTAAAGAAATCAGTAGTTTACAAACAGATAACTCATTTTGAGAAAATGATGCCTGGAAAAGCTTCATCAGAGAGTCCTTCTCCTTGAGGATGATGATTCTGCTCATTCCTATCATCAAACAAGAGCAATTTTATGAGAGTTTTAATGATAAAGTGGTAAGCATACACCTTACCATCCTGAATTGGCTCTTGCTGACTTCTTTTTGTTCCCTAATCTTAAAAAAATCTGTAAAGGGCACCCACTTTTCTTCAGTTAATAATGTAAAGAAGACTGCAGGACATGGTTGAATTCCCAGGACTTTTAGCTCTTTATCAGTTAAATAAATGGCTGTTGTCATCGTTTGCAAAAGTGTATTGATCTTGAAGGACCTTATGTTGAGAAATAGTTTGTATTTTTTTTACTTTTATCTTTTAGTTCCATTTTTCCATGAACTTTTTAAAGTCCCCTCATATGTTTCAAAATCCTGGCTTTGCTTCATTATATACTACACCTGTAAAAGTCCATATATGAGCTCCAAAATGCATTCTCTATAGTTGCTTACTATGTTTGTTTTTGCATGTTATTTTCGACTGTATTTCTGCTCCATTAGTGTTTTACATACCTATTCCATTTCAAACTGCTTCCTGTATCTCCTATTATTACTTCTTAGGCAGCAACCATATTTCCACTTCATTTCTTCCCAAGAAAAGTTAACTCTGATATGTAAACAGAAAAAAAGATTAAATAGATACTGGGTTGTTTTGAAAATGTGTTAGATGGCTTGACAATTAGGCTCAAACTACAGTTCACAACTAGCCTAGAGAGGAAACAGCTGCTCCTGCCAGCAGGCTGGAGCTTGGTTCTGTCTCTACTTCTGCTTCAGGATGCGACTTTCCAGTTGTGTTACTATCCTCGCAATAAGGAAAAGACAGCTTCTAACCCTTTCTTTCTCTTGAATCATCATCCCCAGAGTCAAAGTCTATCATAGGCCTCATAATTTTGCCCTAGCTGTAGGGAAACTGGAAAGAAGAGAGTAGAGTTTTCAGTGGACCTAAAGAGCGATGGTCTTTGCCCTTCAGTAGGATTCATGTGAAGAGGAACTTCACAAATGTAAACTGGAGCTCAGTTGTGAGCAACCAAACTGAATCAAAATGTTCACCCTGCATGTTATTATTATTTTCATTTTTTGATGGACTGGATTATACTTTCTCATCAATTTTTTTAAATATATAAAATTAAAGTGATTAACATAAACATTTTATGAACATCCTACTCAAATCTAACTCAATCTAAGAGTTTGACATAGGTGTTGCCATCATTTTAAAGAAATAAAACATGAAAAATATTGTTAAATTCTTGCTTAGAATGTTCATTTTCCCATCATTTCTTGCACCCTGTCATTGATATGTATAACTGTTATGCAGACTTTTCCAATTTTAAGGCATATGCACCTGCCGTGTTTGGTATGTTCATAAACTTTAAATAAGTTATAACAAATTGAATATATTATTGTGAATTTTTATTTTGTTTCTCAATATTATTAATTTATGATTCCCCTGATGATATACGTATGTCTGCTTCACTCATTTTTTTAACCATGACTATACAACAATAATAATACATACATCCTATTGATGCATGCTGACTAGTCCCAATTTACTTCTTAGTGCAAACAATATGATGTGCATGTTTTCCTGTCTTCTATGCTGTGGAAGTTTCCCCAAGGTTCTATACCTACAAGTGGAAGAGACATAGGATATACACATTAGCTATCTAATAACCATCCTCCATCTTTCGGTATAACACTCTAACTTTTAATCCTTGTGGAAGTGTGCCCATTCAGAGACCACATTTCTTAGTCTGTTCTTTAGTTAAGAATGGCCAATTAAATGTGAATGGAGCTTTTTGGGTGTGATTTCTGTAAAACAGCCAGAACAGCATAATGGTTGAGCAGATGGATGCTGGAGTGAGATGGCCTAGACTTTATTAAGCCTCTAAGACTTAATCAGCTGTTTGACCTGGAGGTTATTATTGCTTCCTTTACCTTACTTCTATCATGTGTAAAATAATAGTACAAGATCATAATATTTTGAAAGAATTTAATAAAATGATACATGAACAGCATTCATAGCAGTACCTGGCAAGCATACCTAAAATGTGAGATTTATTAATTTACTTCCTTGTCAACATTTTATGTTTCCAGACTTTTAATTTGTTCTGAAATAATAGATGTGAAGTAATATTCCATTTGTTTTTAATATTCCCCCTGTGATTACTAGTGTGGTTAAACATTTTTTAAAAAAATTTATTCTCTACTTGGTTTACTTTTTTTGAGAATACATAATCACATTCTTTGTCCTTTTTAGGGGAGTTGTTTATCTTTTTATTATATATTTATATGCCTTATGTATATTTATGAAATTTATGAAAGTTAGAAAGATGATTTCTAACTTTAATGTAATAGTGTTTTTAATAGTTCTTGCTCCTGTATATACATCTCCACTACATGTTCTTTAAAAAAAAGATATATATATATGTATCTATACATTTTAAAGTATATTTACCTTTTTTTAGGCATATAATTCCCTAGATTATTCTTTTATATGTGGATTGTGATATATATATATATACACACACACACACAGTATATACATATAGTATATAGTAAATACACACACATATATAAATATATAATATATAAGCCTGTTTCTTAGAGTGCCATTTGTTCAATAGTTCAACTGTAACTGTGAATTTGTAATACTACTACTCTGTTATATATCTGATTTCAATATGGTGGGTTTGTTCCTGAACTTTCCATCCATATGGTCTATTTTTCTATTTTCACACCACTATTATGTTGGCTTAATTATTATAGATTTAAAATAAATCAATACGATTTTACAAAATAAGTACAGCAATCTTATTTCAAAGCTATTTTTATTTCCTAGACCTTTTATGTTTCCATGATATGTTAGAGTTACATTGTCATGTCTCAGAAAAAAAAAATTATTTTGAAGATGGATTGAGATACACTGAGTTTAAAGGTATATTTGGGAAAATACATTTTATTGTATTAGTTTTCCTATTTATGAACATGTATCTAACTTGTTCAGCTTCTCATTTTTATCATTAAAATGTTTTACATAATTTTCTCTATAAAGATCTTGCATGTTTTATGTTAACTTTACTTCCAGATGCCGTAGACTTTTATGGCTATCAGACTGAATATCACATTGTAAAAGAAGCTGTTGCTGACTTGTAGAAAGTACATTTAAATTTTATGTAAATTTATTACAATAAATCAATAATTCGGTGCAAAATTGCTAACCTGGGGCATTTTTTATCTTAAATGAAAAAATTATTATTATATATTATACATCAACTTAAAAAATCCCAAACTGATATAAAAAAGTAACTGAAAAACATGTAGAAAAATGACTATATGTGACTTAAATACACGTGTCTCAAAATAGATAATGATTAAAAACTACTCCCTGATTAACAATCAATATTTTGTTATGAAGTAGTTACTTTGTATAAAGTAAATTTTAAAATTCACATGCAATTTACAAAATGGTGCAATAAATAACACACAAAGCTAGGAACATTTATTTTCCAAACACAGAGCCAAAATTAATAATGGGAAATATATTCATTTCCTGAAATAAACTTATTCATCAAAGGAAGTAGTGACTTACGTTTTAAAGAATATTGAGAAAAGAGGAAGAAATGAGACTTGAAGGAATCCTTATTCACTGAGGAAGATGATGTAAAGTAAGGTAAATTAAGGGCAATTTCAGGCAAATGACAGGACTACGAGAAACTGATATGGATTTTTAATAAATCATTTTGGAACTAATATAGAAATTATGTAGTAGAGAGGATTTTAGAGAAGGTAGTTAAGGCTCTCGAATAAAATTCTGTCTATCTATCGATGTTCTTTTTATCTATTATTTAGCTATCTAATGAATCCCTATTTTAACTTTTACATAAACGTCTTTGAATAGTGCTATAAAAATATTAGACTATTAGGCAAAATAAATAAATTTCATTCTACGTGATACATTCAAATACTACATCATAATGTTGTCAAAACCCAAAACTCTTAAAATTAGACATGTCCAGGGGACAAAGTCAAGACTTCATCATCTCTAATTGAGGAAAAAAAATTGTGGTGGTTATAATAATCAGGGGAGATTTGGAATGTAGCTTTGGTGGCGAGTCAAAAATTATTATTGAATGGGGAAATGTCCAAAGAGTATGAAGTTTCAGTTAGATAAGATGTGTAAATTTTAGAGATATGTTGCACAGCATGAGAACTATAGTTAATTATAATGTATTGTACTTTTTAAATTGCGAAAAGAGTAGATTTTAAATGTTCTCACCATAAAAAAAAGTGATAAGTAGGTAGGTGATAGATCTCCTAATCAGCTTGATTTGATCATTCCACAATATAAACATATATTAAAATATCACATCATACCACATATATTTCTGCATTATTTGTTAATTAAAATAGAAAATTAGAAATATATATTCATTTTTACAATCCTAGAACTATTTATCGATGCTTTCATTAGCCAAGACTTTCTGTAAATGTGTGGATGCCACATTTTTACTAGTTTCCATTTTTCCTAAATAGATGAATTATTTGATAATTTCAATTTCATTGTTACTTAATTGCCCTAGGAGGAAATGAAAGACAAGACAAAAATATACATCTGAAATATTCAGAATGACCATATGAGTTTTTATATTTTACTAAAATGTAACCTTATAAATTTTTTATCCAAGTAACCTTTGTACATAATTTAAATCATTAAACAGTAAAAATTATCAGACTTATAATGGAAACAGCACAACCCTATATACCACCATTTCTCATCCCCAACACCATTTCCTCACACTATTTCTTTAATTTTTGAGGTTTAGATATTATATATCATGATGGCTAATTTTATGTATCAACTTGGTTAGAATAAGGTACCAAACTATTTGGTTAAACATTATTCTAAATGTTTCTCGGCAGGTATGTGTTAAATGAGTTTAGCATTTAAATCCGTAGGCTTTCAATGAAGCACATTACCTTTCCTGTTACGGGAGGGCTTCATTCAGTCAGTTGAAGGCCTTTGTACAAAGAAAAAGACTGAGCCACCCAAGCAAGAAGAATTGCCTTTGGACTCGAATTGCAGTTCTTCCCTACGTCTCCAGCCTGATGGCCTAACCTGCAGATTTTGGACTTGCCAAGCCTCCAAAATCAGTAAACCCAACCTTAAAACATATCTATCATTCTGTTTATCTGGAGAACCATGACTAGTCCATATATTGACTTCTAAATTTGGAAGATAAAATACAGCTCTATCTTTCTTACATTCTTTCCTTTGTTGCCCAGGCTGGAGTGCAATGGCTCAATCTCGGCTCACTGCAACCTCTGCCTCCCGGTTCAAGCAGTTCTCCTGCCTCAGACTCCCGAATAGCTGGGATTACAGGCATATGTCACCCCGCCTGGCTAATTTTGTATTTTTAGTAGAGACAGGGTTTCTCCATGTTGGTCAGGCTGGTCTTGAACTCCCCACCTCAGGTGATCCGCCTGCCTTGGCCTCCCAAAGTGCTGGGATTACAGGCGTAAGCCACCGTTCCTGGCCCATTCTTTCCTTTCATAAACATTTCCTTTCCTCATCCTTGTAATATGATGACATCACAATTGTTATTTAAACCCTTATTTTTGGTGAATGCATTTTTGAGGACTACATAATTATTGTTCACAACCATACCATATAATGAACAATAAACATGATTTCATTTTTATACAATATTTTGTTTCTCCTAGTATTGATTTTTGTCATAGTTGTTTTGTTCGTTTTGTTTGCTTCCTTTTCTACATTTTCTATCAATGTCAGGAGACACTTTTCAATATGCGCTTATGTCACTGCCTCTGAAAAAATAAATGTAATTACTACTGACTCTCTCATCATTGCCAGAATGTTATGCACATTTTTTCTGCTTGTATGTATCTCTGGCTTACAAGTCTGGACTGGGTGCATCTGACTGGTTGAATCAAAGTTGTGTTTATATATTTAAAGTGCAAGTGGAGCTTGTAAGAAAAATATTCAGCTTTACAGCTAGCATGAGTGGGACTCTGTTTCATAGGCCTAAAAATTTCCAAAATTATGGAAGAAGCTTTAATTTATGAGTGACCAAAACAAATTATCAATGGTAAATTCATTCTGATACTGTCTTCATGTTAGGAAAGTTCTTGGCCTTGATAACCAACTGCATTCATTCGCATTGCATGCATAGCAGCAGCATGATAAATGGAAATAATTTGGGAAATTAGATTTAAATCTCACCTCTAATGTTTATAAAGATTGATCTAGACTATTGCACATAATGAAAGACAGCTATTTCTAGTGAAAGTCAAAGTCTGGCTTTAATTTTCACTTACCAAGTTAACAAAGTTTTATAAATTATAAGTATTTTACAAACCTCAGAAAAATGTTAACAGCTCAAAAAAGTAGACCAGATATCTTCTAAGAATATCTTGAAATTGTAAATTTTCAGCTTCATCTTCTATGTCAGTCATATATAGAAGGGGCAAATATATGGGGGAAATGAAGAGACATGAATTAAAAGATTTATTTTTTGGTATCCAAAACTAAATGAATCTAATATAAGTTCCAAGTGAAACTATATTAGATTTCAACATGTGCGCTCATCCATAATGTACCCACCTGTATTTGTTAAGACATCAGTGAATCTTAGATTTCTCAAAGAATCCCATATGTAAGTGAATAAATGAGACAGTTAAATGGTAGCAACCTTAATTTAGAAAGAGAAACTCCAGGAACCAACAAAATGTTTTGTTCTCTGAGGAACGAGAACATTTATTTTTAATGTATACTTCATAAATTTCAATTGTTTCAAACTTAATCATTTTCATGTGTGAAGGTGTTTTATTTTCTCATGATGCAAGTCGAAATAATTGCCTGCAAATCCAAAGGGAACATTTTAGCTCCATGTTTACCTGTCCATTAATTTTTTAAAATACATAATTTTAAGAAAATAGTATTGGTAGAAAATGATTCAAAGCTTAGAGAGGTGTTGCTTTACTTCAAGTTTCCTATTAGTTATTTTGAAAACCTGGATGTCAAATTAGAATGTTTCATTCATGTTTTGAATACAAGACTGAAGCAATTAAATATTGGGCAGAATCATATTTAGGAAGCTAATAAAAAAAGTAATTGTACACATACATACAACACTTTTCATTTGAAAAAATGTGTCATACTATTTTTAAAATATACATTAAGTATAAATGTCTTCAGGGAGAACAATCTCTTAATTGCTAACAAAAACTGCTGAAGTAGACTAATGCTTTCAGAGTGCATTCATTCATTCATCTAAGAAATATTTTGAATATCAATTAAATGCTGTGTAAAATGCATGCACACTACTCTGCTTAATCTACTGTAATTCAATATTATACACAAACACATATACATTATAAATCACAAGTTTGCCTATCTTAGGTAAAATTTTGAATGGTTCCTGCTTTTTGCAAAAGAGAAATACTAATTATTTTTTTCTGAGAAGGAAAATGAGGTCTATAATCATCCATCACAGGTCTGGTGTACATTTATATTCAAATTGGGAAAAAGTTCTATGAACAGATAATATTTCATATACCTAGGATACAAGTTCAGACTGAAAAAAGTAGCATTCTGTGATGATAATATGTTAAATTTGAAAGTGATGCAATTTGTATTGACAGCATCTGTTCCTTGTCCTGGCCCAGAGGGTGTCGAACTAGGTATAAATTACAAAACGCAAATTTTATTGCTTTCTTTCAAAGCTAAATTTTCACATTATACCTCAAAACATGAATACATTCTATAGATTTACACTTTCTTCCCCATCATCTCTTCATTAATCCTCTTTGTACATGAAAAATATGCTTGACTCTGTAAGTGTATGTATTTTAAATTTCCATTTAGCAAAATTATGGAACAGAGGTGTATTTGTAATTCTGACAACAATGATCACAATGATAATAGTGATAAAGAAAATGATATTGATGATAATTATTATAATGTAATTTCTGACAGCAGTTCCGAATTCTTACTTGTGTCTACATTATTTATTGGAGAGAAGCTATAGAAAACCATTAGGATTATCAGGCAATTGTAGAGAATTGGTAAATCAGAGAAGTTACTATCATAAAGAAACTTCGTATCCATTCTTTTCATTGTCATCATTAATTTTTATACCCAATGATTCATTCATTCAGTACACACTAGGCACAACTCAGTGCTGGAATACCACATAGAGCAAATAAGGGGATGGCTATTACCTTCATAGATCCTCAATTTAGTGGAATACATAGATATTAATTCCATAAAAATAACTGGAAAATAGACACTATGATAGGTGGTATGTACGAACGTGACTTGATGCCATGCAGCTTATTAAAGTGGATGTTGTTTTGTTTCTTTTGAGACAGGTTCTCACTTTGTTGCCCAGTCCGAAGTGTACTGGCGTGATCACTGCTGACTGCAGCCTGAAGCTCCTGGGCTCAAGCTATCCTCCCACTTCACCCTCCCCAGTAGCTGGGACTACAAGCATGCACAACTGTAACTAGCTAATTTTTTTTTTTTTTTTTTTTGACAGAGCCTCACTCTGTTGTTGCCCAGGCTAGAGTGCAGTGGTGCGATCTTGGCTCATTGCAACCTCTGCCTCTCTGGTTCAAGTGATTTTCCTGCCTCAGCCTCCTGAGTAGCTGGGATTACAGGCACCCGCCACCATGCCTGGCTAATTTTTTTATTTTTAGTAGAGATGGGGTTTCACCATGTTTGCCAGGCTGGTCTCTAACTCCTGACCTCAGGTGATCTGCCTGCCTCGTCCTCCCAAAGTGCTGGGATTACAGGTGTGAGCCACCACCTGGCCTATTTTTTTTTTTTTTTTTTCGTAGAGACAGGGTCTCAGTATGTTGCCCAGGCTGGTTTTGAACTCCTGGCCTTCAGTGATCCTCTCATCTCTGAATCCTGAGTCATTGGGATTGTAACCATGAGCCACCATGCCTGACCAAAAGTGTATTTTAACATAACTGTAAGCAAGAGATTAAATGACCCATAGGAGTTAAAAAGAAAAAGAGAGGAGAAAATATATCCCAGTAACAGCATTCAAGAAAAACTAATTTAAATCCATTTTGTCTGACTTACAGAAAATTAAGGAAGAATGGTTCAAGACATGGCTACCAAAGTTAGTTGGACTATATACCAAGTAGAGCCAGATCCTCCTTGTGTTAAGTATAAGGAGAAGAGATCAAAATATTTAAGACTTTGCTGATAAGATATGCATTTTGAAATGCTCACTCTGGTTTGACTGCTGCCTAAAGAATTACTTGGAAAGGAGTACACTTACTCTATAACAAGTTATAAATTAAAAAATTATATAACTTTATGCCTGGGATTTTTCATGGCCAGCTGCTAAGTTTAATAAGAAAGTTTGAGAGATAAAGTAACTTTTATAATTACTGACAATTGATTTAAAACAACCAAAACTTACATTAATTCCAAATATGTTGTTTTCATGATATATTGACATATGTTTATTAGATATTCTATCCAAACTAGCTAAAATGTTTGCGCTCTTTGATCATTTGTGTCATATTTTACTTTCGATGTTTCTTCACATAGTTTCTTATGGCCCGCCACTTCTTGCCTCTCCATCCACTGCGCAAAAAGGTGATGTCTTAACACTCTCAATGTCAATGCAATTTGTGTAGGTTCTACTTGCACACTTCCAATATGTGATAACTTATTCAAAAAACAGACTAATTTTTTCTAACACACTGCAAATTTTGTGGGCGTAGCAGTAATAATTTGATGTTTTCCTTTCACTGATTCTGACTTGATGTCTTGATGTCATAAGTAGTTAAAGATAATGCTTTAAAAATTGTTAATATTCTTTACCAATACATTACTTTATATTATTGTATATTTCTGAAAGCATTACCTCCTACATAAAACATTGCCTTATTGAACAATATCAAAAAAGAAGTGACCAGTTTTACCTAGTACAAAAGTTTACCAGGCTAAGTTTGGAAATCCTAGAGAGGAGAGAGGAAATGAATTCGGGACATATATTCCTCCTATTTAGGAGAAATAGAATTTTTAGTTTTAATAAAACCATTTGGGGTCAGAAAGGTTTGTCAAGGTAGGCATATATATTTTTAACCATTTTGTAATTGTAAGAGAATCATAATACAGCCATAAAATTCAGTTATTCTAAAAGCCAACATAGTTTTTTTTATAAATGTGAATCAAGCAATATTGTTCTACTTAAAACTCTTCAATAAATTATCATTACACATAGATTAAAATACACATTTGTTACTACACATAATATGATCCTACACGATGAAGCTCCTGTCTCATTCCTTACTACTCTCCCCACAATACTATGCTTAAGCTGCCAGGTCTTAAATATGTCAAGTTCATCTCTGCTTTGAGACCTTGGCACTTGCTCTTCCCCTCTCTGAACTGTTCTTCCCACAGAGCCTCATAGGTCTGAATTCTTATCACTTACACCTAAGCTGAAATATGAGCTGCCTTCCATGAGCCTTCCATGAGCACTTCCAGTCACCCTTTATCACATTACACTGTTATATATTGTTCCTAGGACTTCTCATTATTTAAAATTATCATATTTATGTATTTGCTTATTATCTGTCTTCTTCCATAAATAGATGTTCCCTAAAAACAGACAATGTATCTATCTGGTTAACTATTTTACTTCCAGAGTCACCTGTCCTCTAGCAATACTCAATAAATATTTGTTAGATAAGAAAACGAGTGAACAAGTAACTAAATAAATCACACCATTCTAAGGTCTCCTCTGTACCACTACTTCAATGCAGTTGCAGCCACACATGATTACAGATCTTTTCATTAACAAAATTCACAATGCTTATTTACTTTTCAGTTTATGATTAAATATGTTCAGAAATAAATATACAGAATTTTATGGCATTATCTGATAAATAAAACAAAGAGATTCAAATAACTATTTTTATCTGATGGGAGTAAAATTTATATCAATATATTTCAGACAAATCTAATTATTTAGTAATCCATGCCTTCACAGAACTATAAAGGGCAGCTATTTTTCAAAAAGTATGTTAGTTTGGATATTACTAAGTGTAAAAGAAGAAAGATTGAGAGGGTAAAACATTAAGAAAACACTTCAGGTTACCTGCTATACTAGATTAAATTAATATTCAAGCTGTGATTGATCACGATTGTTTGAAAATAAAATGGTGACTTAAAATTTTCCTAAGTGTCAAATTAATTGTGATATTTTATTTATCCTGTTATAGGTAGATAGACAGACATGAGTGGAGCAAGAGAGGGCTCTCCCCTCACCACCCACTAGAAATGTTGGGTGGTGGATTCCACAATTTATTGCGTTGCCTCTCCAAAAGTGATAAACTGGCTGTGGCGCCAGAAAGAGGCCATTTCCTGATGGTCCACACCTGTTAACATCAAAAAATTAACTGAATGTAGGCCTCAGGCAGAAGCAACATCCTCGGCATCCACATTAAGAGACAAAAATGATGAAGTATGATCTTCCAGGTACACGCCTCTGGAAAAGGGAAGAAAGCCCTCAGATGGGCCTGCCTGTAACTCCCTACACACACTGCCATGCTCAATTCCAAAGGATGAGGAACACACTGCGCATGTGGGAAGCCCACCCTAAGGAGGGAAGAGTCGCGGGAAAGAGGCAAGCCTGTAAAAGTCTTAGGATCACGGATAAACGGACACTTGACCAGCTCTCAGTTTAACCTTCAGGTGCCCTCTTGGATCCCTTCCAAGTGAACTTTCCTTTCTTCCTGTTCTAAAGCCTTTTAAGTAAACTTCCACTCCTGCCCTGGAATTTGCCTGATCTCTTTTTCGGCTTTATGCCCCTCGGTTGAATTCTTTCTTCTGAGGACGCAAGGGCTGAAGTTGCTGCAGATGCCTATGGATTCCCTGCTGGTAACTCAGGATAATTTAGATCTCTTCCACTGCTAATAATCCTATTCACATTAACCGGAGGGCCAAATGGATCCAGTGGATCCCTAGCCAGACAATCAGTCAGCAGACACCCACTGAGTAATCATTATACAATGTGTTTCGTTAACATGAGAAAAGCAAATGTTTACATATGTGCCAGTTAGGGTTCTAAGAATTTCGCATATATTAACAAATGTAATCTTCATGATAACCCTTCACAATAACTGTAACTATCCTTATTAACAGACAAGGCGAAGTGACCTGCCCAAGATAAAACTCATCAGAGCTGGGATTTGAACTTAGGCAGTCTGACTACAGCTTTACACTCTTGACCACTGTACTATCCCACTTCTCACTCAATCCTCTTTTTTCTGAAAATCAAAATAAATAGCTGAAGAATAAAGTCAGATGTGACTGAGAGAGCTGGAGACTTTTAAAGTCATATCCGGAAAGTCAGAACACTGGGAAATACAGAAATAAGAGTAATTATGTACACTTTTAAATGATTCAAAGAAATTTAATTGAATTTCGAAGAGATAGATTTTTGGCTGTTGTCTCTCCAACTAATTTTGCCCAGCATTATTTGAACTTGTAGACAGATTTGTCAAGTTCTACAAAAGACAGCAAATAACTTTCGGATAACAAGTAAACTTTGCTGTATTTTTTTAGGCAAGTTCATCATGCATGAATTTCACATCCTCTTTTAAAAAAGTACTGCAGTGTAAACACATTTATGAAATGTCTACTGCTAAAGAAATCATGTAGCCTAGTTTACATGGTTTTACACATATTTACACATTAATTGGACATTATAAAAACCCTACTTTTATTAAAAATGAATTTAAAATTCTACAGTGACATGTGAAAACAAAATAAAGATATGGGTACCAGTCCCAGCAATATTACCATTTGTGAATTAAACTTTTACCAAAATGCTTAGTTTCCTTAGAAACTATTTTTCTAATTTTATGATGAGGTATGGTACACTGCCACTGCTTTCATCTGCTCAGTATCATGTTCTCTGGGGAATTTTCCAAGTTTATTCTTTTTAATTCTGGTAGTTCTTATACTCATGAGTCAGTCTCTCTCTCTCTCTCTCTCTCTCTCTCTCTCTCTCTTTCTCTCTCTCTCTCTCTCTCTGTCTCTGTCTCTCTCTCTCTGTCTGTCTTTCTGTCTCTCCCCCCTCTTCTCTCTCTCCTGGAAATGTTAATCTTTAGGAATTTATCCAGTGCCAGAAAGCAGGCAGCTGGTGATGAGTATTTTGTAGCATGTAGAATAAGGTACACTAGTCTCTGCTACTAAGATTCCTGAAGCAGTTGTGTGTCCTGTCTTTTCCAAACATGACTGGACAATTTCTCCAGCACTGTAATTTACCCTCTATCTTCTAAAAGTCGACATATTTATGCTGGTATCAATCAGAATTTCTTTAAACCTTCTTATATGGTTTGGCTGTCTCCCCACCCAAATCTCACCTTGAATTGTAATAATCCCTATGCGTCAAGGGTGGGGACAGGTGGAGGTAATTGAATTATGGGAGCAATTTACACCATCCTATTTTGGTGGTAGTGAATAAGCCTCACAAGATTTGATGGTTTTATAAGTGGGAGTTCCCTGGCACAAGCTCTCTTGCCTGCCACCATGCAAAACATGCCTTTGCTTCTCCTTTGCCCTCCACCATGATTGTGAGGCCTCCCTAACCGTGTGGAACTGTGAGTCCATTAAACCTCTTTCCTTTATAAATTACCAAGTCTTGGGTATGTCTTTATTAGTAGTGTGAGAACAGATTAATACACCTTCCATCTTCTTTAATTAATTAATGACAGAGGTAAATTAGAAGAAGTGCTTTGTTAATTACAAGACTCCCAATGATTTTACAGTAGCTTATTTACCTTGGGCAAACTATAAGGAAAACAGAAAACTTAGATGTACATTTTATGAAAATATAAATATAAATGCCTTAATTATCAGACTAAGGATATATTTCATTCACAACTATGAGATTTTGAGTATTTATAATGTTGAAAATAAATTTGCTAAAAGCCTTGGTTCTCAATAACTAGCTCTACAACACTGAAAAAGGTAAGATTTTTGTATGTCTTTTTTCTTATACCTCAAAAAACTTCAGTTTTCCACTTTTTATCTCACTGGCAGTGGTGATAATAAAATGTGAATTTCTTGAAATTGTGCAAAACACTATACAAGTAAGGTAAAAGCAATGCTGTTGCTCTTATTTTATTGTAATTATGTTCCCGTGTCACTCTCTAGATATTAAATGCCCAGGATGAAGGCAGTAAGCTAAAATTGTGGTATTTGAAGTTTTTGCTAAGACAAATTTCATAAAAGAATTAGAGAAAAAACTTTTTTGAATGATTTATAAAGCCCAGGTAATAAGACATATTTTTCTAAACAAAGATTGTGTTTTCTTTATATGAAAATATCAACAGTGTCTAGCACAGTACTAGGCATGTAGTGCTAAGTACTATAAGTAAAGTTTTGCTCCCTGGCACATCCAAAATCTAACTTTAAAATGATTCCTTGTGTTATATATTTGTTGATATGTGTTAATTGCCTCTGATATATTAATAAAGTACTTACCTAGGAGCTTTGAACGCTTCCTGTTGCTACATTTTGATTTGCCACTCATTTGCCAATCTCTCTTGGTTTGCTTTTATTTTTGAAATGCAGGTTTTTCTTAGTTTTTCTAAGTATAGGTAGTTATAAAAGAGCATTGTGGGTTTCTATTTTTCATATGTGAGTTAACACCATTACATGCTGCCATGAAAGTGGGTGAGCCACCATTAATCATAGAATCATGCTGCTGGAAGGAAACTCCAAAGGTCAGATAGTTAATCCTCTTGACTCCACGTAGGCTGCCTTGAAATTAACCTAGACAAATAGGTGTCTGTCTAAGCACTTAAAGGTTGAATGGCACCATGAATGTATAAACAATCATAGCCAAGTGGAGTATGAGCTGATCATTTAGATAATTCAAGCAGCATATCTTCACATTGGTTCAATCCCCTAAATATATCAATATTTCCATTTGAACAGTGGTGTAGTTTATCAGGAGAAGGTGACTGGACCATCAGAAAAATTATCTTAGAATATTTTGTTGAGAATGAAAGAAGAAACTACATATAAAGTGCCTTGTATCGGTTATTAACATCCCAAAGCTTTAAAAAGCTTAAAACAATATAAAGTGATTTAAAACAACCATTTATTTGTTCATTTGATTATATAACTTGGGCTGGACTCCATGGAAATGGATAATCTCTACTCCAGTGGTGTTGCCTGGGGTATGTTGACTTGGGTGGTAGTATACAAAGCGTCTTCATTCACATGTCTAACACAATGGATGGCGGTATTACAAGTATTAGTATAGGCACACTGAGCCTCTATGTTTTTGTGTCCTCTGTAGAAAGAGAGTCTTTTTTTGTTTGTTTGTTTGTTTGTTTGTTTGTTTGTTTTGAGACAGAGTCTTGCTTGTCACCTAGGCTGGAGAGCAATGGCGTGATCTCAGCTCACTGCAACCTTCACTTCCCAGGTTCAAGCGATTCTCCCGCCTTAGCCTCCCAAGTAGCTGGGATTACAAGCACCCACCATCATGCCCAGCTAATTTTAGTGTTTTTGTAGAGACAGGATTTCACCATGTTGGCCAGGCTGATCCTGAACTCCTGACCTCAGGTGACCTGCCCACCTCGGACTCCCAAAGTGCTGGGATTACAGGCCTGAGCCATCGCGCCTGGCTGAGTCTTAACTTCTACAGGAGGCTGACTAGCAAGAGGACAAAAATAGAAGCTACATACTTTCTAAGGTCAAGAGATGGAACTGGCAGAATGTTGAAGCCAGTGCATTTTAATTGGTCAAAGAAGTCACAAGACTGATGGAAGGCAGGCATGTACAGGGATGAGTCCAATTTCTAGAATAAAATCTCAGTAGAATCTGCCACAAAAATGTATGCCCCTCTCATGTGAAAAATCTACTCACCCCCTTCTAAGCCACCTCCGAAACTCACCCTAGTAGAGCGTGAGACTTGAAGTTTAGTATCTTGTGATCTACATCAGGTCTGTATTTGGATCTGGCTTTCTGGGTGCTAGTCTTTTTCTTCTTAAGTATTGATAATTAAAATGACTGATCGTCTGCACCTAGTATCATTCATAGACAGGGGCAGCACAATAGAGACTCTCTTTGAATGAGAGGAGGGAAAACAGGCAGCACATTGCAGACTCTGCTGCATTGTAGTTCTGAAATTCAGCTGTCGCTTGCTCTCAGAGTATTCCTGCAGGGACGGAATGTCCTTTGAATAGAAGCCAATTACGGCATATGAGAATCGATCATCAATCCATATAGAGCTCTACCTTGGTTCTATTTGCTTTGCTCTCTGAGATACCATTCCTTTATCATATGAAACAACTTTTATATGTTGCTGAGTAGCTTTTTCTTTCTGATAACTAGACTGTTCGTGGCCAGAAGCTTCATTTCATTTTCGACTTTTTTACTACCTTCTAGTCCAAGCTGGTATAAGTCCTGTAATAACTTCTTATCAAATTATTCATTTTCTTAGGCAAAAGTCATACCAACCAATATCTTTAAGTCAGACCCTTCTTAATTTTGGGTTGCAAGCCATGGTTGTCCTTAATATTCTTAGAGGCCCTTTTTGTCATGCTGAAGTAATATAAGAGAAAAATTTTCAAGTCTCTCTGAGGTTCTAAAAAAGGGTCTTATGTCTGTACCCTTTATTTGATCTTACCCCTGAGGCCATGTTTTATTGAATTTGATGGATTTGTTTGCCCTGGATTTGATGTTTGCTTGAGGCTATTTCAACTTTATGGCTAAGGATTAGAAATAGATATATATTCCAACCTATCAAATCCTCAGACGGAAATATTTCCTCTGAATTATGTATTAAAACTGAATATTTCCTTCTTATTCACATCATTCTCTTCTTACATTTTATCATACACAGTAAATAAAGTCAATTGGCACTTTTGATTCTGGATATCTCCTTAGTCAGATATCTTTTCTCTATTTCACACTAATTTAATGAGCAACTTTGCCAGTTTTTCCACCAATACAAGCTGCTGGTTTTCTTTCCTTGAGCCTCCTACTGCAGCTGCCTCATTGCCCCCGCAGTCTCTACCAACAGTCTCTTCTTACCCACATAGCCTCTTCCAGCCACCTAATTCCAAGCCAACACCACGTATTTTAAGTTTCTGTTATGCAGTGCTCCACTGCTGGGTATTAATGTGTGTCTCATTTATCTATTGCCGAGTAACAATTGCTGAATAACCACCAAATACTTCAAAACAACTACCATGTATTCCCACAATTCTATTGGAAAGCAGGACTTTGATGGAGAGTTCTTCTGCTCGGCGTCACCTTGGCTGTGGTCACCATTGCTGTACCATTTGTTTTGGAAGCACAGTTGACGATGGATCCTCTAAGACAGCTTTCATTACATACCGAGTTTCAGCTGGGGAAGGTGGAATGTTGGGTATTTGGTTGGGCTTTTCTTCACATATTCACTCACTATTAATAGTCTAATCTGAACTTTCTTACATGGCAGCTAGACTCCAAAGAGGGAAAGTGGATGTTGCCAGACTTCTGGAGACTTACATCCAGAACTAGCAAAGCATTTGTCTTCACTGGATTTTATTGCTGGAAACTAGTCATCAGACCAACTCGAATTCCAGAGGAAGACACCACACCTGTCTACTGATGGGAATTGTGATATGTGCATACAAAGATTAAAGGAATTATTAGAAGTCATCTTTAGAGACAACCTGTTATATGCCAATATAATTCTGGACATATATTGGGTAATCAATAAGCATCAGTTGTTGTCCCCATCTTCCAGATGACATAGCATTACTCCTTTTGTACAAGGAATGTATTTATTATATAATCATTTATAAAATAAAATGAATTTTACCCTCTCAGTTTACTTATTATAGTGATTAGAATTTCATTTTTAAGTTTCTTTTTTTCAAAATAAAGGCACCATCTTCAATGACAAAAGATTTTGGGAGATCAAGTAGTATGATGATAACAAAGACAATGCTGGATTTTACAATTGCAAAATGTTATTGATACACATCTTTTTATATGGCTTAGAACCCTCTTCCTTAGTTTGAGGACTAAAGGAGGATGAGATATAGTAGAATCATGAATAAGAACTTTTCAAGCTTAGGTGCTTAAAATAATATGGGATGTGGGGGAGAGAGATTGTTATGAGGGAGGTCTCTTTCTACTGTCTTAACTTTACGTATATGCAAGGAATTTAAATTTAACAATCTAAAACTTTATATGTGCTTCCCACTCTCTCTTTTTTCAGCCTTTGATTACTTGTTCCAGCCAATAAAGATATATGCAGTGTAGGTGAGATGAAGTCATCATCTATATTTTGTATAAGTGCAGGTAACACATGCAGATTAGATGGAATTTTAAACTAATACCATATGGTCTGATTGTTTACTTTTTTTTTATAAGAGGGGAAATGTTTTATTTTTCTAAGAGTTTCCTTAGAGTATAGGACAAGGAATTTCTGGATGAGTACATTCAGGCATATTGACATCTTGATCCTTTGGTGTGAGGCTTCAGGGAATGAGTCTAAAAGGCCCTGGAAGCACCAATGGTTGGTAAACTTGAGCTGACATATTGACTGTGACAAAAGAAGCACTACGCACAGTGTTACCAGTTGTGGGAGTAACTGCTTCTGGAAGGGTGGTCTCTACTGGAAAATAACTGGGTGGTGATAGGAGGCACTTTTATCTGTATGAGTTTCAGAAGCATTTCAGAAAATATTTTCAAAGTTCTTTGTGTTGGCAATAGTGAGAAAAACGACATGAAAATGTGTTTTCAAGAATGACAGTGGAGATTCCTCTGGTCACCAAAAGCTTCACAAGGAGCGATGAAGAGAGTTGTGTATTCTTGTCTTTTACCCCAATTGCTTCACTCAGTCAGCACAATAGTGTTCATAGAGTGAACAGGAAAAGGAAGGCAGTAAAAGACATCTTAACATAGGGACAAGGGTAGTGTTAGGTGCCAATGAAAGTCCTCAGTGAATCCAATTCATGTGCATAGATCAGAAGAGGCTTAGAAAGATTGTAACAGTGAATTATAGGTGATAGAAAAGCAAAGACTGGGAGGACATTCCTGTAGACTTAGGGTAAGACAAAAAATGAAGCTTAGTTACATTATTAGAGGGAAAGTAAAAGTTTCATACACTAGTCTCCGTGTTTATGTAAGTAATATGGTTTAGATCTGTGTCCCCACAGAAATCTCATGTTCAACTGTAATCCCCAGTGTTGGAGGTGGGACCTGGTGGGAGGTGATTGGATCATGAGGGTGGTTTCTCACGAATCGTTTAGCACCATCCCCTTGGTGCTGTTCTCATGATAGTGAGTGAGTCTTTGGGAGATCTGGTTGTTTAAAAGTATGTAGCACCTCCTTCCTCTCTCTTGCTCCTGCTCTCACCATGTAAGACGCCTAGCTCCCCTTTTGCCTTCTGCCATGATTGTAAGTTTCCTGAGGCCTCCCCAGAAGCCAAGCAGATGCTAGAATCATGTTTCCTATAGAGCCTGCAGAACTGTAAGCCAATTAAACCTCTGTTCTTTATTAATTACCCAGTCTCAGGTATTTCTTTATAGCAGTGTGAGAATGGACTAATACAGTAATATGTTAAACCCTACAGGGGAGGATCAACATGGGATGTGAAAGGAGTGGTGAACGGACTCCACCAGACTATTAGAAATAAAATGCACAATGATAAAACAAAAGAAAAAAAGAAAGATGGGAAGTGATGAAAACTTGAGTCACATAAGGGCTCATGTTTTATTCAGGCAAAAAAATTATTAAGTTCTTCTTTTATGTCAAACACTTTATTGAGCAAAAAGAAGAAAGACCTTTAATTTTGAGGTAAATTATTTTTTATATTGTGAAAACAGGCACTCAAACAGTTATGATTCAATACTCAGATAAATAGATCATTTAATATTGTAAGTTATATTCATCCTCAGTTTACATCTTTATGTATATATATACACACACAAATTAATGTATTACACATTAATGTATCCAGTACTATTAAATTTTTGTTTTTTAATATGAGCAGCATGTTATAATTTCTTTCATTTTTCAATCGGTCTGCTAAATTTTTTGATAGCTCATTCAATCCATGGAGTGTTTTCCTTTGAGATAGATTTCTTCTTGAAATTTTCCTGTACATATTGTAAATTTTCTACCCTTATAAATAACTTACCTCCACAAAGCCAATCCTTTTAATTCATCACATATACATTTAATTCTGCTGTTCATATTACCACTTGAACTTTCCTGAAACTTTCCTTTCCACTGTCAGTTCAAGCTGCCAACTCAAAAACACACACAGAAAGGCACAAAGGAAAGAACCAGATAAGTCATATAATAACAATATTGCCATATATATTCACCATAATCCGTAATGAGCTCATAAATTCACCTGCAGTACTGTATTTCATATTTCCATCAACCTGTATGTTCAATTTTTTTTCCAATTTTATGTATAAGGAAATTGAGGTTTGATGAAATAAAGTAACTTGACCGATATTAAAGATTCAGTAAGTGACACATTGAATTTAGGAACTTACACTCTATGTCATAAAAGGTTACCTATTTTGCCAAGCTTAAAATGTTTTTACATAAAATGGAGAATATATAAAAGGATTTATAATATATTGAAGGATATTTTATATTCATAAAAAAAAACTATGGAAAATTGGAATTTAAGAACTTACATGCTATGTCATAAAAGGTTACCTAGTTTGCCAAGCTTAATATGTTTCTACATAAAATGAAGAATATATAAAAGGATTTTTGATACATTGAAGAAGAATATTTTATATTCGTAAAAAATAAATTATGGAAACCTTGTATCTCTAGCAGTAGCAGCACAATTTAGGTTAATGAATAAAAGCATTTGTCCTTCAAAACAAAATTTTCAGTTAAAGATAAAAAGAACTATCTATTTAAAAATAGTATCAGGTTTCTCCTTCTAGGAATATGAAGTAGACACACTTTTCCCTCTTTCTTCTGCTAAGTAGCCCTTAGTTTTAGCCCAACTAAAAACCTTGGACATTATATGAAAGAGAACAAAGGAAGACGGAGAAGGAGAAGGGGAAGGAGGAGGTGGAGGAGGAGGAGGAAGGGGGGGAGGAAGAAGAGGGGGAGGAGAAGGAAGAGGAGGAGGAGGAGGAGGAGGAGAGGAATCTGTAAAGTGGAGAAAAGGAAGACCAGCGAGGACTATCAGGACCCAAAGAACAACATGGTAGTGATGATATTCTTGTGTTTCCTTTTTTGCCTCATATATTACAGACTTGGAGTTACAGAAGCTGGCAATTTAAAAACACCAATGGACACAGACAACATAAAGCCCTACCAAAAACCTGCTCTCTCTAGTCAAACTAGAAAAATAACTGCCTAAGAAGACAAAAAGCTTCTAGATCATAACTGCTCAACTCCACCCAAACTCCATAGAAAATTCTGTCACCTCAATTAACCCTGGCAGAGAGGCTGTGTAGGTAGTGTGAAAAGAAAAGTAGAATCTTTGGACCCCAGACTTGCTATGCCAAAAGGAAAGTTAAGCTTGGGAGCTGAGCCACACAAAAGCTGCCTTTGTTTTGTTGCCAAACAGACAGCTGTTTTCACGTTTATCTTATGTAAAATGTAGATTTATAGAGCTCCAGACAAATGCATAATTGACTTCCTTCCACTCCCTTCTTTTCACATGTAAAATGTAGATTGACTGACCACTAATCGGAGCCTCACAAGAATGTAACTACTTGCCTCATTGCGTACCCCGTCCCCCCTTACTCCACGCTCCCCCCACCCCCGGCTTTTTCCAGCTTTTTCTTCTTCCCTTCCTGCTTACTCTTTACTCTTTAAACATTACAGTTGCCAAAACTCTCTTTGGAAAAAATGTAGGTCACAGATCTTACTGTGATTTGTGTTTAATTTTTCCAATTATGTCTGCAACCTTGGGAAAATAAACCACTAATTGATGGAAATCTGCCTCAGTCACTTTTTGGTTGACACTTGTCTAGACCTGTACCTTTCCCAGGCTACAACTAGATGCTCCAATCCCCCACCAGGTTAGAATTAGGGAAGGCCAAGTGGGAACCCTGGACTTTTATTCCTGCTGCGCAATGACAAAAGGCCCCCTGTGCAGGGTCAGTGGAGTACACATAAGGAACCTTACCTTTCACCCCAGCAAGCAGTAACAAACTGCTACTCCTCCTCTTCACCAGGTGTTAGAAATGTCTAAAGGAGAGGTCGGGTGCAGTGGCTCATGCCTGCAATCCCAGCACTTTGGGAGGCCGAAGTGGGCAGATGACTTGAGGTAAGGGGTTCAAGACCAGCCTGGCCAACATGGTAAAACCCCACCTCTACTAAAAAAAATACAAAAAAAAAAAATTAGCCAGGAATGGTGGCACATGCCTGTAATCCCAGCTACAAGGGAGGCTGAGGCAGGAGAATCGGTTGAACCCGGGAGGCAGAGGTTGCAGTGAGCTGAGATCGCAACACTGCAGTCCAGCCTGGAAGACAGAGTAAGACTTAGTCTCAAACAAAATAAAACATAAAAAAATTAAAAAGAGCATCACTTTTGCCACCATTCGGCAGAAATTAAGCAACTGCAAACCACTGTGTCAGTAGAGACCACATGTGGAAATAAAACTTCTATCCTTGCTGGGCAAAAATCAGGAGCCACCCTCTCCCTTCCTCTTGAGTGTCATAGGAGGCTAAGTGGAAAATATGGACTCCTGTTTCTACTCAGTAATTATAGAGTGACATTCTACCCCCTACCCTATCTCCTTTCCTGCTGGAACAATGTCAGAAAAAGCCAGTGATCAAAATGTCCTTAACATTTTCCTTAGCTTGACCAATTTTGTGACCAGCTTCTGTAATTGCAAATTCTTCCCTGCCATTATGAGATGTACATTTTTTTTAAAAGCCTCCTGCCAGATTTGCAATGCAGGATTGTCTTTCTCAAGGACTAAGAGCCTTCTCTTTCAAATGTAATAACCAAGGAAGAGATCATTCTTGTGTCCCAGTCTCTATGACAGGATAGGAGACTAAATCAGGTGCCTGGTAGGCAACCTGCTCCAAGTTGTAAAACTGCCTCCTCTCATGAGATTCCAGAAAGTTTACTTTGCCTTTGGTAAGGACAATTAGTAAACACAGATTGACTAAGCACCTACCATTCCCAGTTATTAAAGACTCTCCAGCCCTTCACTTCTTGAGTTGAATTTAGACCATGTTCTGATCTCTTCCTCTGAAGCAATAGCCTTGAATAAACTTAAAGTATCACTTGCCTGTTTCATGTTGTTGGGTGGCTTTTGTTTTGAAACCAGCTAAAATATAACCTGTCTCAAAAAAATCATTCATTATACAAAAAAAAAAAAAGATTTGACTTAAAAGTAAAAAATCAATAGATGTCAGCAGCATGATGGCAGAAATGTTAGAATTGTCTCATAATGATTTCAAAGTGTTACCAAAAAGACATCTCGATCCAGAAGCCAAGAGAGGGTTCTTGGATCTCGCACAAGACAGAATTCTAGGCAAATCCACACAGTAAAGTTAAAGCAAGTTTATTAAGAAAGTAAAGGAATAAAGAATGGCTACTCCAAAGGCAGAACAGCCCTGAGGCTTGCTGGTTGCCCATTTTTATTGTTCTTTCTTGATTATATGGAAAACAAATGGTGGGTTATTCATGCCTCCCCTTTTTAGACCATATAGGGTAACTTCTTGACATTGTCATGGCATTTGTAAACTGTCATGGCACAGGTAGGCATGTAGCATTGTGGACAATTAGAGGTCACTCTTGTTGCCATCTTGGTTTTTAGGGGTTTTAGCCAGCTTCTTTACTGCATCCTGTTTTATCAGCAAGGTCTTTATGACCTGTATTTTATGCCGATGTCCTATCTCATCTTGTGACTTAGAATGCATAGCTGTTTGGGAATGCAGCCTAGTAGGTCTCAACCTTATTTTATTCAGCCCCTATTCAAGGTTGAAGTCACTCTGGTTTGAGCGCCTCTGACAAAAGTAGCCATGGTTTTTAAAAAATGCTTCAGTAGGCAATTAACAACATGCTTGAGGTAAATGAAGGAACAATTAGAAAGTCTCAGCAAAGAAACAGAAATTCTTAGCAAATAAATAGACTAGATAAATATTAACCAAAAGGAAATTTTAGAACTGAAACACACAAAAACTTAAATAAAACTTAGCAATGGATTCATCAGCAAAACAGAGGTGTAGTATTCCTGTATGTTTTAGAAACTTTCTAATTAATATTAATTACATACTCTTTTATAACAGTTAAATTTCTTCTAATAACTTTGTGCTGCTGGTCCTTATTTTATTACACCAGACAGATGTCTGAAAGAGGAATACTATATCTGGCCTATGAAACAAATTAGATTGTTTATTAAAATAGAGATGAATCATTCTAGAAACAGATCCCAGTAAGATTACTTTACTCTAATTGGATTGGTGACAATCTTTAATTTAGTAAAATTAACATCTTAGGTTTGTATCACACTTAAGTTATAAGACATTTGGCAGGTACTGTGTTAAACCTCTTAGGTTTATCATTCAAATATTTCACAAAGTTTGGTATACATAAAATTGTTGTTATAGGGATAAGTGTTTTTTTATCTTACTGTTAAATAGCATTGAATCACAGAGAAAGAAACATATTATTTTTCATTTCTCTTCCTGACTTTCTTATTACACCAAAGAGAACATTTCTGTTTAATACCACTATTTCTTTATAATTTCTCCCTGTTTTAACAAAGATAAAGCCCCAGGCTCAGAATTTTCAGCTGGCACTGCATCTATCTAGGATTTATTTTAGCATTACTTTGGTTTTAAAGTGTTTTTTTTTTTTGTTATCTGGTTTTTATGCAAAGCGTTCTTGTTTTCCATTTTAAAGTTGATATAAAGTTTCTTTTTAAAAAATATATTTAATTTTTTAAGCACTTAACTTAAAGAAAAATAATAAGTAATAAGAATACATATGAAATGAAAACATAGCCAAACTCATGATGGCTTCATACTCATGCAGAATTTTAATTATTGTGCTTTAACTCATTGGCTCTCCCGAAAGACGTTAGATTAATGTCAATTGTGGAAACTGAGGGCAGTGATTTATTCCAAGTTCTAAAGATCATTATAAATAGATCCTAGGTTTTACACTTTTAGCTTCTCAACCAGTGTCTCTTATGAAACAATGCCTCCATAAATTAAGAAGTCACATTTTTCTCCCATAGGGATTCTAGTCCAGGTTGTGTAACTCATTGTCTCCAACACTGACAAAATATCTGTGGGAATCTTAAGTCATTCCCTCTATTAAAAACATGCATTTTTTAGTAGTAATCACAGAATTGGGATTTTAAAAAATAAAGTAGAAATAAAGTCATTTTTAATCTCTCTAAAGACACCTCTGATTAATTTTTTTTTTGATCGTTACAATAAAGATCACTTAATAAAAAGTCTGGCAGGAAAATAACTTAAGGGATTCTTTTGTTCTTTCTTCTGATAAGTCATCCATTTATAAAGATTGTAATTCAGAAAAATAATAAAAGAAAAGATGTGATTAAATTAAAGGAGAAGACCTAAATAAATCTAAAATGCTGCATTTAATAAAATGATGCAATAAAATCTACAAGATTGAAAGGCATGGGCTAGGTTGGTTAGGAGAAAACGCAAAGAAATGTATTTGTATAAGTTTTGCTTTAGAATTGAATTAAATGTTATAGCTTCTCAAGTTTCAGGGCAAAAATGACAGATATAGCCGTGATTAAGAAATAAAAATGGATAGCTTTTATTATTCAAAGAAGTAGACTGTGACATTAAACAAAAGTAACCAAAGAGAATGCATTTCACTTATTTGATGAGCATATTTGGACAGAATTTAATGTTCAGAATGGGTGTTAGTACATTAAAATGTTCAATTTCCTCCACCCCTAATTCTACGGATGCATAAATCATTTTTGGTTGGGACATTCATTTAAGATATTCGTCTTTCAGATTTTTCTGAAAAAAATTGTAAAATTGTACATAAAAGGACGTTTTTAATGGTTTGGTTTTTACAATATTTCCAAATATTATCTTCTAGGACTAGCATTTTGACCCTTTTCAAGATGTTATAAAGACCAAAAAAAATGTATTTGTAGTTTCCAAATATTTCTTCATCAAATCTTGTTTTGCACAGAAGCAGAAAACCAGATGCCCCATGTTCTTACTCATAACTGGAAGCTAAACATTGGGTACACATGGATATAATGATAAGAACAGTAGACAATAGGGACGACAAAATAGGGAGGGAGGAAAGGGGGTAAAGGTTGAAAAAGTACTTATTGTGTACTATGCTCATTACCTGGATGACGGGTTCAATCATACCTCAAACCTCAGCATCACACAGTATATACATTATAACAAACCTGCACATATACCCCTGAATCTAATAGATGAATTGAAAAAAAAAAAAAACTTTAGAAGCATTGCTTTAAAGTGATTAAAGGCTCTGCCCACATGAGAAAAATAACTAAAGTAGGAAAGCAAATTAGTTGTTACATTTCAGTAAGTAAAGTTAAAATTTTCTATTATGTTAATATTTTCACCTCTGGTGCTATACTTAGGATGCATGTTATCAGTTTCTGAATATATAGACTAAAATAAGTCCATGATCTAACTTTCATAAGTCTGTAAACTAATATTCATAGAACCCATCTAGAAGTTAGAAATAATTCATTAGACAGTATAGTGAATTGACTTTATTAAAGAGTCTATAGTTAATAAGTGCATTGTTACTTAATTTGGTCATACCACATCCATATAATCAAAGTGAGATTCAAAGGTATTAAAATCTAATTAATGTTTCCAATGTATTCTCCATAAATATTAAGACACATCTAGAATAATTATGAGATCAATGGACTCACAGAGATGTTTGAACAGTTGAAATTCTTCATGCTTTCACAACATACATTGTGATGCAGACATGCTCAATCTAATTTTCAAAAACATTTGCAATTTAAGCAATTAAATGAAGAAGATATACAACTGATATGTAAAAATTTGTGAAAGACTACTCCCAAAATAATGTTTCTGTTATCTGAGTTACAGTTGAGTATTTTCTGAGGGGTTTCATGTGCTTTGATGTGTATCCTATGCTCAAGCTTAAAGATTTTGTGATATGAGCTAGAATTTTCCAACAAAGCAGAGATAGAATCAGAGTGAGGATTTTAGGCACATATCAAAAATGTTCTTATTAATAATCAAATTTTGGGCAAATTAGCCAATGTTTCCCCAAGACAAATAAGTTAGAAAATTTATACATCATATAAAAATGATTGGTATTCATTCTATTTCAATCATCATGACAGAAAATACAAATGAGCTGTCTCACCCATGTCTTTAACTCAAGATTTCTCCTGTTATCACTATTCTAACAAATGATAAGTAATTTTCAGGCCTGTATTAATCTGATATGATACCTATCTCTTGGGGCCCCAAAACGGTCATTTTATATTAAAATGTTAGGGGAATCTCTGATTTGATATGCAATTGATTACAGGTGCCTAGGTTATGATTCAACAAGACAGGTGGTGAGAGATGAATGGTATAAAATCTAGCCTCAAGCACAGCAACATGCTACAGAAGGTTATGATTTTACATCTTAAGAGATTTCTAGGAAATGTTACCCAGAGTTAAGAAAAATGATTGGTTTACCATAAAATTATGCAATATTTTAAAGTTCTGTTATAAAAATCTTCCTAAAATGTTGGGAGCTATAAAATGAAGGATGGACTTACACAGAATTGTCTTGGTTACAGAAAAAAAGGCATGTTTAAAAACAGATATAATGTCATCAGCTACAAAACTATTTATCAACAATTTATTATATTGTCTGCATTATAAAATCTTAGATTAAATATCGATTAGGATGAATTACAATGCAGAACATCTTTTCAGTAATAACAGCATCACTTAATATATTTTATATTTTGGAGCAACAGCAAACAAATTCAAAATCTAGCAAAAGACAAGAAATAACTAAGATCAGAGCAGAACTTAAGGAGGTAGAGACACGAAAAACCCTTCAAAAAATCAATGAATCCAGGAGCTGTTTTTTTTTTTTTTTGAAAAGATCAGCAAAATAGACCGTTAGCCAGAATACTAAAGAAGAAAAGAGAGAAGAATCAAATAGATGCAATAAAAAATGATATACCACAGAAATACAAACTACCATCAGAGAATACTATAAACACTTCTATACAAATAAACTAGAAAATCTAGAAGAAATGGATAAATTTCTGGACACATACACTCTCCCAAGTCTAAACCAGGAAGAAGTCGAATCCCTGAATAGATCAATAACAAGTACTGAAATTGAGGCAGTAATTAATAGCTTACCAACAAATAAAAGTCCAGTACCAGAAGGATTCACAGCCGAATTCCACCAGAGTTATAAAGAGGAGCTGGTACCATTCTTTCTGAAACTATTCCAAACAATAGAAAAAGAAGGATTCCTCCCTAACTCATTTTATGAGGCCAGCAACATCCTGATACCAAAACCTGGCAGAGACACAACTAAAAAAGAAAATTTCAGGCCAATATCCCTGATGAACATCTATGTGAAAATCCTCATGAAATACTAGCAAACCGAATCCAGCAACTTATCAAAAAGCTTATCAACCACGATCAAGTTGGCTTCATACCTGGAATGCAAGGGTGGACCAACATACGCAAATCAATAAATGTAATCCATCACATAAACAGAACCAATCACAAAAACCATATGATTATCTCAATAGATGCAGAAAAGGCCTTCGACAAAATTCAACACCTCTTTATGTTAAAAACTCTCAATAAACTGGGTATCGATGGAACGTATCTTGAAATAATAACAATCTATGACAAACCTACAGCCAATATTATACTGAATGGGCAAAAATTGGAAGCATTCCCTTTGAAAACCGGCACAAGACAAGCATGTCCTCTTTAACCACTCCTATTTGACATAGTATTGGAAGTTCTGGCGAGTGCAATCAAGCAAGAGAAAGAAATAAAGGGTATTAAATTAGGAAAAGAGGTAGTCAAATTGTCTCTGTTTACAGATGACATGATTGTATATTTAGAAAACCCCATTGTCTCAGCTGAAAATCTCCTTAAGCTGAGAAGCATCTTTAGCAAAGTCTCAGGATACAAAATCAGTGTGCAAAAATCACAAGCATTCTTATACACCAAAAATAGACAAAGAGCCAAATCATGAGTGAACTACAATTCACAATTGCTGCTAACAGAATAAAACACTTAGGAATACAACTTATAAGGGATGTGAAGGACCTCTCCAAGGAACACTACAAACCACTGCTCAAGGAAATAAGAGAGGACACAAACAAATGGGAAAACATTCCATGCTTATGGTTAGGAATAATCAATATTGTGAAAATGGCCATAGTGCCTAAAGTAATTTATAGATTCAATGCTATCACCATCAAGCTACCATTGACTTTCTCCAGAGAATTGGAAAAAAACTACTTTAAACTTCATATGGAACAAAAAAGAGCCCTTATAGCCAAGACAATCCTGGGAAAGAAGAACCAAGCTGGAGGCATCATGCTACCTGACTTCAAACTATACTACAAGGCTACAGTAACCAAAACAGCATGTTACTGGTACCAAAACAGATATAGAGATCAATGGAACACAACAGAGGCCTCAGAAATAACACCACGTATCTACAACCATCTGATCTTTGACACACCTGACACAAACAAGCAATGGGGAAAAGATTCCTTATTTAATAAATGGTGTTGGGAAAACTGGCAAGCCATATGCAGAAAACTGAAACTGGACCCCTTCCTTACACCTTATACAAAAATCAACTCAAGATGGATCAAAGACTTGAACATAAGAACTAGGACCATAAAAATCCTAGAAGAAAACCTGGACAATACTGTTCAGGACGTAGGCATGGGCAAAGGCTTCATGTCTAAAATATCAAAAGCAATGGTAACAAAAGACAAAATTTACAAATGGGATTTAATTAAACTAAAGAGCTTCTGCACAGCAAAAGAAACTATCATCAGAGTGAACAGGCAACCTACAGAAAGGGCGAAAATTTTTGCAATGTATCCATCTGACAAAAGGCTAATATCCAGAATCTACAAAGAACTTAAACAAATTTATAAGAAAAAAACAAACAACCCCATCAAAAAGTGGATGAAGGATATGAACAGACACTTTTAAAACGAAGACATTTATGTGACCAAAAAACATATGAAAAAAAGCTCATCATCACTGGTCATTAGAGAATTGCAAATCAAAACCACAGTGAGACACCATCTCATGCCAGTTAGAATGGCGATCATTAAAAAGTCAGGAAACAACAGATGCCGAAGAGGATGTGCAGAAATAGGAACACTTTTACACTGTTGGGAGTGTAAATTAGTTCAACCATTGTGGAAGACAGTGTGGCAATTTCTTAAGGATCTAGAACTAGAAATACCATTTGACCCAGCAATCCCACTACTGGCAATATACCCAAAGGATTATAAATCATTCTGCTATAAAGACGCATTCACACAAATGTTTATTGCAGCACTATTCACAATAGCAAAGACTTGGAACCGTTCAAATGTCCATCAATGATAGGCTGGACAAAGAAAATGTGGCACATATACACCATGGAATACTATGCAGCCATAAAAAAGGATGAGTTCATGTCCTTTGCAAGGACACGGATGAAGCTGGAAACCATCATTCTCAGCAAACTAACACAAGAACAGAAAACCAAACACCGCATGTTCTCACTCATAAGTGGGAGTTGAACAATGAGAACACATGGAATAGGGAGGGGAACATCACACACTGGGGCCTATTGGGGAAGGGGGCTAGGGGAGGAATAACATTAGAAGAAATACCTAACATAGAGGATGGGTTGATGGGTGCAGCAAACCACCATGGCACGTGTATACCGATGTAACAAAACTGCACGTTCTGCACATGTACGCCAGAACTTAAAGTATAATAAAAAAGTAAATATATGTATAATATTTTAATTTGTAATAATAGCACCTACATAAAAATGTTTTTGCTTCATTTTATATTTGCCAATACTAGGTAAAGAGAAGGGAGAATTACCAAAAAGAATGCTAAGTTTTGCACTTTAACAGAGAAGTAGCAAAAAATAACAAGGAAAGAAAGGGAAAGTAATTTTCTTCAAACCACGGAAGGTTTATGTGATCAAAGGAATTATACACTTTTTTTTTTAATTTAGGATATTGAAAGAAAGTATAATATATTGCTATACTTTAGATTGGTTATGTTTTAAATAATTTGGGGTAGAGATATTTTGGTATTTGCTGTATGTGTCACATAAACGCTTATGTTAACAATAAAAAAACAACTTAAGTTTGCAGCTATCTGCACATTCTCCAAATTTTGTTTTCCAAGGAAAAGAGCAAGGTGGAAGACTTTTCAACTTGGGATGAAAACCACATGTCTTAGAAAGTTCAGAAGGCTATAACAGAATACCATAGACTGGGTAGCTTAAAGAACAATCAATTTCTTACAGTTCTGGAGGCTAGAAATTCCAAAATCAAGATGCAGGTATCTGATGAGGGCATTGTTTCTGGTTAATAGACAGCGGTCTTCTCACTGTCCTCACATGGCAGAAAAAAAGCTAGAGAGCATACTGGGATCTCATACAAGATCATTAATCTCTTTCATGACAGCTCCACCTCATGACTTAATTATAGGCATACTTTATTTCATTTCATTTCATTATTCTTCACAGATACTGCATTTTTTTGTTTGTTGGTTTTTCACAAATTGAAGGTTTGTGGCAAACATATCTTGAGCAAGCATATTGGCACCATTTTTCCAACAGCATGTGGTCACTCATTTTCTTGTGTAACATTTTAGAAATTCGTGCAATATTTCAAGATTTTCTTATTATAATTACATCTTTATGGTGATATATGATGAATAATCTTTGCTATTATTATTGTAATTGTTTTGAGGCACCATGAATTACGTTCATATCCAACAGTGAACTTCATTGATAAATTTTGTATGTGTTCTGACTGCTCCATCAACAAGCCATTCCCTGTCTCTCTCTCTCTCCTTGGACTTCCCTATTTCCTGAGCCACAGTAATTTGGAAATCAGGCCAATTGATAACTGCACAATGGCCTCTAAGTGTCTAAGTTAAAGGAAGAGTCACAAATCTCTCTTTTTAAATTAAAAGCTAGAAGTGATTAAGCTTAATGAGAAAGGCATTTCAAAAGCCACGATAGACCAAAATCTAAGCCTCTTGTGCCAAACAGCCAATTCGGAATGCAAAGGAGAAGTTCCTGAAGGAAATTAAAAGTGCTACTCCAGTGAACACACAAATGATAATAAAATGAAACAGTTTGATTGCTTATATAAAAAAAGCCTTACTGGTCTGGATAGATCATCAAATCAGCTGCAGCATTCCCTTAGGCCAAACCCTAATCCAGAGCAAGGCTCTTAGTTTTTCCCATTTTATGAAGGGTGAGAGAGGTGAGCAGCTGCAGAAGAAAAGTTTGAAGTTAGAAGAGGCTAGCTCATGAGTTTGAAGGAAAGAAGCTGTAGCCATACCATAAAGGTCCAAGTGGATGCAATAAGTGCTGATGTGAAAGCTGGATCAAGTTATCCAGAGGATCTAGTTAAGACAAATGATGAATGTGTCAACACTAAATAACAGATTTGCAATGTAGATGAAACAGCCTTATATTTGATGATGCCATCTAGCACTTCCATAGCTGGAGAGAACTCAATGCCTGGCTTCAAAAATTCAAAGGACAGGGTGACTTTCTTGTTAGGGGTCAATGCAGTCAGTGATTTTAAGTTGAAGCCAATGTTAATTTACTATTCCAGATATCCTAAGGGCCTTAAAGATTATGCTAAATATATTGTCTGTGCTCTATAAATGGAAAAACAAAGCCTGGATGATGGAACAGCATGGTTTACTGAATGTTTTAAGCTCACTGTTGACACTTACTTCTGAGAAAAAAAAATGCTTTACAAATATTACCGTTCATTGAAAATGCACCTGGTCACCCAAAAGCTCAGATGGAGAAGCACATGGAGATTAACGTTGTTTCCATGCCTGCTAACACAATATTCATTCTTAAGTCCATGGACCAAAGAGTCATTTCAACTTTCATGTTTTATTATTTAAGAAATATATTTTATAAGGCTCTAGCTGCCATAGGTAGTGATTCCTCTAATGGATCTTGGCAAAGTAAATTGAAAACCTTCTGGAAAGCACTTAACATTTTGGAAGGCATTAGGAATATTCATGATTCATGGAAGGAGGTGAAAATATCAAAATACTTGCTATGGAGACATTTTTGTGCTTGTGAAAGGAGGAGTCAGTTGATGTGAAAAATGTCATTGTCACATTGACAAGAAATTGTCACAGCTACCCCACCCTTCAGCAACCACCACCCTGATCAGTCGAGAGCCATCAACTTTGAGACAAGACCCTTCACCAGTGACAAGATTAGCACTCACTGAAGGCTCAGATGATTGTAGGAAATTTTTAACAATAAAGTATTCTTAATTAAGGTGTGTACAATTTTGAACATTATCCTAGTACACACTTAATAGACTACAGTATACTGTAAACATAAATTTTATATGCATTGGGCAACCAAAAATTTTCTGTGACTTGCTATATTGTGATGTCTACTTTTTTGTGGTTGTCTGGAACTGAACCCATAATGTCTCTGAGGTATGCCTGTGTATACCAAGGGCTCTAACTCCTAATACCATTACATTAGGAGGTTAGGATTTCAAAATTTAAATTTGTGAAGTCACAAACATTCAGTTCACAGCATGTCTTTTATTGACTTAAAAAGTTGACTTATCTAAAAGTCTTTGAAGATTAAAAACAAAATGGAAACACAGGAAATATTAATATTTTAGTAACCAAACATTATGTATCTAACTGACACGTATTTAAATATTAAAAAAGAGAGAGCATCAAAAAGGAGAATCCAGGGTTTACAGTTTCAACTTTAATTTTTATTCTTCTGTTATGTTCAGCTATGTGTACTTTGTGTCTGGCTAGAATCTCATCACCTACAGGTCTATGCTGCTACATTTGAAGAGATCTAAGTAAGTTATATAAGAATATGTAATACTGTTTTCAATGTGTCAAATTTATTTTTTGCAAGGTCACAAAGAAGAAAAACAAACAAAAAAAGATGTAATATAAAAACCGTATATTCTCTGTAATCTTTTTTTAATATTATATAATTATTTTTTCTACAAAATAATAAAAATAGAAAACTGCAACTTCAGAAAAAAGTGATAAGTATCTTGATTGATAATACGATACATATTTTATTAATACAAATTAATTGTACATATTTATGGGGTGTATGTGAAATTTTGATACATGAATATAATGTGTAGTGATTAAATCAGGGTATATGGAATAAGAACATAAACTAGACTTGCATAGCAAATGTGTAAACTAACTGTAATATCACCACCCTTATAATTTTGTCTAGTTACTAGAGCATTATGAATACAATTTCAGCTAACCACGTTTCTATCCCCTATTCTATCACCTGTGTTTCCCATAGAGCTTATTACCTTCTTGAATTCTATTGTTATCACTTCCTTTTTAAAAAAAATTGGATTATATGAATTTATATAAGGTATCATGTTTCCTTGCTTTTCATATATATATGTGGCATTATATTATAGGTTGTATTCTGTGACTTTTTCTTTAATAGCATCTGTATAAGATTATTATTATTATTTCGACGTTTACTTCATTTGTTTTCATGGTTGTGTAATACTCAATCAAACCAGTTTCTACAATTTACTTTTCAGTTTTGCTTTATGGTGTTGAGGTTTGTTGTTAAATGTATTTGCTTTACTAAATAGCGTTGCTAAGAACTTTTCAGGGAATGTTTCTTGGCCCTTACTTGCAAGAATTCATCTAAAGTGTATAATAAGAGAAAATGCTGGGTTATAGGATATTGCAGTGCTAGAGCATGTGAAATTGTTTTCAAAAGTGTTCTAATTTATCTATTATTGGCATTAAATGAGTATTCCATTCAATTTACAATATCTTCCTGAACAGGAGTTACTACATTTCTAATTTTTGCTTTTCATGTTAGTGTAAAATACTGCTTATCATGTTCTTCATCTGCATATTCTTATAACCAATGAGGAAGATACTTTTCACTAATAGACTACTTATTTGTGCTTCCTTTTTAATAAAATTCCCATGCATGTCTTTTGTCTGTTTTTCTATGAGGTGCTTATTCTTTTCTTGGTTATATTTGTAGTTGTTCTATATTTGCTGCATGTATTTTAGTTATATAAAGTTACAAATATCTTTTCCCATACTGTAAACTATTTTTTATTTTCTTCATGTTGGATTGTGATGAAACCAAGATCTTAATATTAATGTATTTACATTTTCTAATCTTTTTATTTGTGATTAGTTTTTATTATTATTAAAGAAATAAATTTGTTACAAAAGATTATGAGATTATAAAAGTATACTTCTGTAATTTCTTCTAAAAGATAAAATTATTGCTTTTACATTTAAGTCTTTAATCCATCTTCAAATTTTTCACAAAGCTGTCAGTTATGGGCCCAAGATTCTATTTTCCTCACAGAAATAGTTATCCCACCTTCATTTATTGAACATTTCCTCCTTGATCCAGTAATGTAAAATGCACCTGTATTAAATAGCAAGTTTCCATATATGACTGTATCTCTATCTGGGCATGTGTATCTTCACCAATACTATACTCAATATTTGTGTCTTATTAAAAGGTGAAGTACCTCTAATTTTAAAAAAACTGATTGTCTTGGCTGCTTTTCTTTAATTAGATTTTTTATTGAAGAATAGCAAATAAATAAAAATGCACCAAATGACTATATATAACTACCAAATATAAATGTCATAATACGGCATCATAAATATCACAAAGGGGATATAATCATCTAAATATCATGGATATAAAGAAATAGACCATAATCAGTACTGGAAAAATCTTCTGGTATTTTTCCACATTTTTATGCCCACAGTATTCCACAAAGGCAACCATCATCTTGGCTTCTAATAACATAAACTAATTTTGCTAGACGTTGAAATCCAAGTTCATTAAATAATATGATGTTTGTTATGGCATGACTTCATTCTTCAAAATAATACTTGCAGATTTATCCATATTGTTGGTGTGTAGCAGCAGGATATTCCTGAAATACACAGCTATATTCATTGAAGACATTTAGCTGTGTATTTATCCATTCTATTGTTTAGATATTTAGCCTGCTTTGAGTTGAGGGTATGGCATATAACACCGCCATGAGCATGCATTTTTGTTAGGCATATGTTTTTGCCTTTAGTAGTATATTGTACCTGTTAGTTTTTACTTTTTTTTTTTAAGTGACAAACTGTTCAGCAAAAATGCTCTCATTTTTTGATCAGCCTGGGAGCATCATTTTGCCTTTGTTTTTTAAAAATATTTTGAACTTTTATTTCATATTTATTTAAAAACCTAACATTCAAGTGAAGAATCAGTTATGTTTTTGATTTAATAAGTAATAAATAGAAAATTTGTGGTTTTAAACTTTGGTTGATGAATATTATATATTTTTATTATACTTTAAGTTCTAAGATACAAATTAAAATATAAAACATATATATATATGTATTTACTTTTTAAATTATACTTTAAGTTCTGGGGTACATTTGCAGAACATGCAGTTTTGTTCCATAGTTATACGCCTGCCATGATGGTTTGCTGCATGCATCAACCCGTCATCTACATTAGGTGTTTCTCCTAATGTTATCCCTCCCCTAGCACCCCACCCCCCTACAGGCCCCAGTGTGTGATGTTCCCCTCCCTATGTCCACATGTTCTCATTGTTCAACTCCCACTTATGAGTGAGAACATGTGGTGCTTGGTTTTTGGTTCTTATATTAGTTTGCTGAGAATGATGGTTTCCAGCTTCATCCATGTCCCTGCAAAGGAAATGAACTCATCCTCTTTTATGGCTGCATAGTATTCCATGGTGTATATGTGCCACATTTTCTTTATCCAGTCTATCATTGATGGACATTTGGTTTGGCTCCAAGTCTTTGCTATTGTGAATAGTGCTGCAATAAACATAGGTGTGCATGTGTCTTTATAGCAGAATGATTTATAATCCTTTGGGTATATACCCAGTAATGGGATTGCTGGGTCAAATGGTATTTCTAGTTCTACATCCTTGAGGAATTGCCACACTGTCTTCCACCATGGTTGAACTAATTTACACTCCCAACAGTGAAAAAGTGTTCCTATTTCTCCACATCCTCTTCAGCATCTGCTGTTTCCTGAGTTGTTTTTCCTTTTGCTTTTTTTTTTTGAGATAGAGTCTCGCTCTGTCTCCCAGGCTGGAGTGCAGTGGCACAATCTTGGCTCATTGCAAGCGCCGCCTCCTAGGTTCATGCCCTTCTTCTGCCTCAGCCTCCTGAGTAGCTGGGACTACAGGTGACCACCACCACACCTGACTGATTTTTTTGTATTTTTAGTAGAGATGGGGTTTCTCCGTGCTAACCAGGATGGTCTCAATCTCCTGACCTCGTGATCCGCCCACCTTGGCATCTCAAAGTGTTGGAATTACAGGCCTGAGCCACCGTGCTCGGCCCTGTTTCATAACTCTTTAATGATCACCATTCTAACTGGCATGAGATGGTATCTCATTGTGGTTTTGATTTGCATTTCTCTAATGACCAGTGATGATGAGCTTTTTTTCATATGTTTGTTGGCCACATAAATGTCTTCTCTTTAAAAGTGTCTGTTAATGTACTTCACCTACTTTTTGATGGGGTTGTTTTTTTTTCCTGTAAATTTGTTCAAGTTCCTTGTAGATGGTGGATATTAGCCCTTTGTCATATGGACAGATTGCAAAAATTTATTCCCATTGTGTAGGTTGCCTGTTCCCTCTGATGATAGTTTCTTTTGCTGTGCAGAAGCTCTTTAGTTTAATTAGATCCCATCTGTAAATTTTGGCTTTTGTTGCAATTACTTTTGGTATTTTAGTCATGAAATATTTGCCCATGCCTATGTGTGAATGGTATTGCGTAGGTTTTCTTCTAGGGTTTTTATGTTTTTAGGTCTTACGTTTAAATCTTTAATCCACCTCGAGTTAATTTTTGTATAAGGTGTAAGGAATGGGTCCAGTTTCAGTTTTCTGCATATGGCTTGCCAGTTTTCCCAATACCATTTATTAAATAAGGAATCCTTTCCCTATTTCTTGTTTTTGTCAGGTTTGTCAAAGATCAGATGGTTGTAGGTATGTGGTGTTATTTCTGAGGCCTCTGTTCTGTTCCATTGATCTCTATATCTGTTTTGGTACCAGTACCATGCTGTTTTGGTTACTGTAAGCTTGTAGTATAGTTTTAAATCAGGTAACGTGATGCCTCCAGTTTTGTTCTTTTTGCTTAGGATTGTCTTGGCTATGTAGGCTCTTTTTAGGTTCCATATAAAATTTAAAGTAGTTTTTTTCTAATTCTGTGAAGAAAGTCAATGGTAGCTTGATGGAAATAGCATTGAATCTATAAATTACTTTGGGCAGTATGGCCATTTTCATGATATTGATTCTTCCTATCCATGAGCATGGATTTTTTTTTTTATTATTTGTTTGTGTCCTCTCTTATTTCCTTGAGCAGTGGTTTGTAGTTTTCCTTGAAGAGGTCCTTCACATCCCTTGTAAGTTGTATTCCTAGGTATTTTATTTTCTTTATAGCAATTGTGAATGGGAGTGTGCTCATGATTTGGCTGTTTGTCTTTTACTGGTGTATAGGAATGCTTGTGATTTTTGCACACTGATTTTGTATCCTGAGACTTTGCTGAAGTTACTTATTAGCCTAAGGAGTTTGTGGACTGAGATGATGAGGTTTTCTAAATATACAATCATGTCATCTGTAAACAGAGATAATTTGACTTCTCTTCCTGTTTGAATACCATTGATTAAGGATTTTTGCATCGATATTCATCAGGGATATTGGTCTGAAATTTTCTTTTTTTTGTTGTGTCTTTGCCAGGTTTGAGTATCAGGATGATGCTGGCCTCATAAAATGAGTTAGGGATCAGTCTCTCTTTTTCTATTGTTTGGAAAAGTTTCAGAAGGAATGGTACCAGATCCTCTTTGTACCTCTGGTAGAATTCGGCTGTGACTCCTTCTGGTCCTGGGCATTTTTTGGTTGGTAAGCTATTAATAACTGCCTCAATTTCAGAATTTGTTATTGGTCTATTCAGGGATTGGAATTCTTCCTGGTTTAGTCTTGTTTCCAGGAATTTATCCATTTCTTCTAAATTTTGTAGTTTATTTGCGTAGAGGTGTTTACAGTATTCTCTGATGGTAGTTTGTATTTCTGTGAGATCAGTGGTGATCTCCCCTATATCATTTCTTATTGGGTCTGTTTGATTCTTCTCTCTTTTCTTCTGTATTAATCTAGCTAGCAGTCTATCTAATTTGTTACTCTTTTCAAAACACCAGCTCCCAGATTCATTGATTTTTGAAGGGTTTTTTGTGTCTCTATCGCCTTCAGTTCTGCTCTGATCTTAATTATTTCTTGTCTACTGCTACCTTTTGAATTTGTTTGCTCTTGCTTCTCTTTTTCTTTTAGTTGTGATGTTAGGGTGCTAATTTTATATCATTCCCACTTTCTCCTGTGGGCATTTAGTGCTGTAAATTTCCCTCTTAACACAGCTTTAGCTGTGTCCCAGAGATTCTGGTACATTGTGTCTGTTCTCATTAGTTCCAAACAACTTATTTATTTCTGACTTAATTTCATTATTCACCCAGTAGTCATTCAGGAGGAGGTTGTTCAGTTTCCATGTATTTGTGTGGTTTTGAGTGAGTTTCTTAATCCTGAGTTCTAATTTGATTGCACTGTGGGGTCTGAGAGAGTATTTGTTATGATTTCCCTTCTTTTGTGTTTGCTGAAGAGTTTTTACTTCCAATTATGTGGTCGATTTTAGAATAAGTGTGATGTGGTGCTGAGAAGAATGTGTATTCTTTTGATTTGGGGTGGAGAGTTCTGTAGATGTCTATTAGTTCTGCTTGGTTCAGAGCTAAATTCAAGTCTTGAATATCCTTGTTAATTTTCTGTATCATTGATGTGTCTAATATTGACAATGGGGTGTTAAAGTCCCCCACTATTATTGTGTGGGAATCTAAGTCTCCTTGTAGGTCTCTAACAACTTGCTATATGAATCTGGGTGCTCTTGTATTGGGTGCATATATATTTAGGATAGTTAGCGCTTCTTGTTGCATTGATCCCTTTACCATTGTGTAATGGCCTTGTCTGTTTTGATCTTTGTTGGTTTGAAGTCTGTTTTATCAGAGACTAGGATTGCAACCCCTGCTTTTTTTACTTTCCATTTGCTTGGTAAATCTTCCTCCATCCCTTTATTTTGAGTCTATGTGTGTCTTTGCATGTGAGATGGGTCTCCTGAATATGGCACATTGATGGGTCCTGACTCTTTATCCAATTTGCCAGTCTGTGCCTTTTAATGGGGACATTTAGCCCATTTACATTTAAGGTTAATATTGCTATGTGTGAATTTGATCCTGTCATTATGATGCTGGCTGGTTATTTTGCTCATTCATTGATACTGTTTCTTCATAGTGTCGATGGCCTTTACGATTTGGTGTGTTTTTGCAGTGGCTGGTACAATTATTTTCTTTCCATATTTAGTGCTTCCTTCAGGAGCTCTTGTAAGGCAGGCCTGGCGGTGACAAAATCCCTCAGCATTTGCTTGTCTGCAAAGGATTTTATTTCTCCTTCACATATGAAGCTTAGTTTGGCTGGATAGGAAATACTGGGTTGAAAATTCTTTTTCTTTAAGAATGTTGAATATTGGTCCCCACTCTCTTCTGGCTTGCGGGGTTTCTGCAGAGAGATATGCTGTTAGTCTGATGGGCTGCCCTTTGTGGGTAACCTGACCTTTCTCTCTGGGTGCCCTTAACATTGTTTCCTTCATTTCAACCTTGGTGAATCTGATGATTATATGTCTTGGGGTTGCTCTTCTTATGGAATATCTTTGTGGCATTCTCTGTATTTCCTGAATTTGAATGTTGGCCTGTCTTGCTAGGTTGGGGAAGTTCTGCTGGATAATATCCTGAAGTGTGTTTTCCAGCTGGGTTCCATTCTCTCCGTCACTTTCAGGTACATCAATCAAATGTAGGTTTGGTCTTTTCACATAGTCCCATATTTCTTGGAGGCTTTGTTCATTCCTTTTCATTCTTTTTTTCTCTACTCTTGTCTTCATGCTTTATTTCATTAAGTTGATCTTCAATCTCTGATATCCTTTCTTCTGCTTAATCGATTTGGCTAGTGATACTTGCGTATGCTTCACGAAGTTCTCATGCTGTGTTTTTCAGCTACATCAGGTCATTTATGTTCTTCTCTAAAGTGGTTATTTTAGTTAGCAATTCCTCTAACCTTTTATCAAGGTTCTTAGCTTCCTTGCATTGGGTTAGAACATGCTCCTTTAGCTTGGAGGAGTTTGTTATTACCCACCTTCTGAAGCCTATTCCTGTCAATTCAGCAAACTCGTTCTCCATCCAGTTTTGTTCCTTTGCTGACGAAGAGTTGTGATCCTTTGGAGGAGAAGAGGCATTCTGTTTTTTGGAATTTTCTGCATTTTACGCTGGTTGTTCCTCATCTTTGTGGATTTATCTACCTTTAGTCTTTGATGTTGGTGACCTTCAGACGGAGTTTTTGCGTGGTCATCCTTTTTGTTGATATTGATGCTACTGCTTTCTGTTTGTTAGTTTTCCGTCTAACACTCAGGCCTCTTTTCTGCAGGTCTGCTGGAGTTTGCTGGGGGTCCACTCCAGACTCTATTTGCCTGGGTATCACCAGCAGAGACTGGAGAACAGCAGAGATTGCTGCCTGCTACTTCCTCTGGAAGCTTCGTCCCAGAGGGGCTCCCGTCAGATGCCAGCCAGTGCTCTCCTGTATGAGGTGTATGTCTACCCCTGCTGGGAGGTGTCTCTTCATCAGGAGGCATGGGGTCAAGGACCCAGTTGAGGAGGTAGTCTGTCCCTTATCAGAGCTCGAGCCTGTGCTGGGAGATTTGTTGCTCTCTTCAGAGCTGGCAGGCAGGAATGTTTAAGTCTGTTGAAGCTGCGCCCACAGCCACCCCTTCCCCCAGATGCTCTGTCCCAGGGAGATGGGAGTTTTATCTATAAGCCCCTGACTGGGACTGCTGCCTTTCTTTCAGAGATGCCCTGCCCAGAGAGGAGGAATCTAGAGAGGCAGTCTGCCCACAGCTGCTTTGCAGAGTCTGAACTTCCCAGTAGCTTTGTTTACACTGTGAGGGAAAAACCGCCTACCCAAGCCTCAGCAATGGTGGATGCCCCTCCCCCAACCACGCGCAAGTGTCCCAGGTCAACTTCAGACTGCTGTGCTGGCAGTGAGAATTTGAAGCCAGTGGATCTTAGCTTGCTGGGCTCCATGGGAGTGGGATCTGCTGAGGTAGACCACTTGGCTCCCTGGCTTCAGCCCATTTTCCAGGGGAGTGAGTGGTAGTGTCTCGCTGGTGTTCCAGATGCTACTGGGGTACAAAAAAACTGATGCAGCTAGCTTGGTGTCTGCCCAAATGGCTGCCCAGTTTTGTGCTTGAAACCCAGGGCCCTGGTGGCATAGGCACCCAAGGGAATCTCCTGGTCTGTGGGTTGTGAAGACCATGCGAAAAGCGTAGTATCTGGGCCAGAATACACCATCTCTTACTGCAGGGTCCCTCATGGCTTCCTTTGGCTAGGGGAGGGAGTTCCCTGACCCCTTTTACTTCCTGGGTGAGGCAACGCCCCACCCTGCTTCTGCTCGCCCTCTGTGGGTTGCACCCACTGTCTAACCAGTCTCAATGAGATGAACTGAGTACCTCAGTTGGAAATGCAGAAATTACCTGCCTTCTGCATTGGTCTTGCTGGGAGCTGCAGAGCAGAGCTGTTCCTATTTGGCCATCTTGCCTGGGAATCCCCCTTTTGAATTTTGAAGGATATTTTATTGCACATAGAAATCTAAGTTGAGTAATTTTCTTTCAGACTTTTAAAGATTATATTTCTTTGTACAGTGGTTTCCATTATTTTATTACTGCAAGTCGTTTGCCTTTATTTTCTTGCTACTTTTAATAAGTTATTTTTATCTTTGATTTTCAGCAGATTTCCTAAGATGATCCTAGGCAAGGTTTTCTTTGTATTTATTCTGCTAGGCAATTATAGAGGTTTTAAATCTCTGGCATGGTATTTTATCAGCATTGAAAAATTCTTTGTTATTTTATCTTCAAATATGCCTTCGTTTTCTTTCTTATCTTTTTCTTGGATTCTAGCTGCATTTACCTTCATAATTTCTTCAGATTCCAAGTGTCTCTTACTTTCTTTTTGTATTTTTCTTTTTCTTTCTTTTTTTTTTTTTTTTAAAGAGAGAGTCTCTCTCTGTCACCAAAGGTAGAATGCAGTGGCACAATTATGGTTCACTGTAAACTTGAACTCCTGGGCTAAAGTGACTCCTCCACCTCAGCTTCCTGAGTAGCAAGGACTACAGGAGTACAATCACACTCAGCTATTTTTTTACATTTTTTAGAGATGGGGGTTTCCCTATGTTGTCCAGCCTAGTCTCAAACTCCTGGCCTCCAGTAATCCCCTCAGCCTTTGCCTCCTGAATCATTGAGACTGCAGATGTGAACCATGCCTGACCCATTTTTTCTTTATTTAACATCCTGCCCATATGATGTTTCTCTTTGAGATTACAATTCAACATTATCTAGTCCTGATAAGTATTTTTTGCAGAAACACTCAAAACAGTTTTTTGCAGAAACACTCAATCTCATCAGCAAATTTACATTGTCATGACAGAGGATCTCCTATTTTGCCTAAGGGTTGAAAAATAATAATGCCTAATATTTAGCTAATTAAGATACAGTCTGAAGGTTTTATATTTCTATATAGTAAGTTTCAGTTTAATAGTATTCTGTTTTTAATAAATATTTTTATATAACTTTAAACTAACATTAAATTACCTAAAAGTTCAAGATTAAAATTTTAATTTAAGGGAAGTAGTATTTTAGTAACTCTTTCAATTACATTAGGCCACTATTAAATATGGTTGCTAAAAAATTGTTATTCATAGAAAACTTATTGTAATTAGAATTTTCTAATGCTTCTGCTCAAAAAAAGAAGTGCTTCTGTGTAATTTTGACAAATACTCTATAAATTTTATAATTTTTATATACTTAAGCATAAAGATAAAAAATGGAAAATGTAGCTAGAGAAAATATATATTTCTTTATATTAAAATATCTTATCTTATATATTTATTAAACAATAATCTCTGCTGAGTTACTTACCTTCTATTTACTCACTCATTGTATTAGTCAGGGTTCTCTAGAAGGACAGAACTAATAGGATAGATGTATATGTAAATGAAACTTTACTCTTTTTAAACTATAAATAAAAAAAAAAACTTCTTTTTATTAAGGAGTATTGACTCAGATGATCTCAAGGTGAAGTCCCACAATAGGCCACCTACAAGCTGAGGAGCAAGGAAGCCAGTTTGGGCCCCAAACCCTCAAAAGTAGGGAAGCCAACAGTGCAACCTTCAGTCTGTGATGGAATGTCTTTAAGAGTTCAAAAGCTGAGGAAATTGCAGTCCAATGTTCGATGGCAGGAAGCATCCAGCATCGGAAAGATGTAGGCTGGGAGGCTACGCCAGTCTAGTCTTTTCATGTTTTTTGTTTTGTTTTGTTTTTTCTTTTTTTTTTCCTTCCTGCCTTTATATTCTGGCCATGCTGGCAGCTGATTAGATGGTGCCCACACAGATTAAGTGTGGGTCTGCTTTTCACAGCCCAGTGACTCAAATGTTAATCTCCTTTGGCAACACCCTCACAGACACACCCAGGAATAATACTTTGCATCCTAAAATCCAATCAAGTTGACACTACATATTAACCATCACACTCATGATTAACATAAAACTACTTGTTCAATATAGTTAACACTTTATGTCTCCTGGGTAGAGATTGACTGAGGTGAGAGAAAGGCTATTCTTAGTTTTTGGTAACTGATTATGACTCAATGATAAGCACTTGATTGTGATATTAAATCAATTAGGAATCATAGAGTAAATAGAACTGGACACCTTTAGTTGGTTTTAAGAAAAAATTATTTGCTATTTTTATTTTGTCTTCTGTGTTAACCCAACAATTTTATCATTGCAAGAGACAGAAACCCAAAATAAAATATCTCAAGAAAATAACATAATTGTTAATATATTTATTTGGAAGGAACTGTGAAAGCAAGGGACTTCAGCAACTTAAACTTTTTGACTACATCCTAAACAACTTTCTTTTTGTACAGAGAGATATAGTGTAATTGTTTTTCTTCAGTTATGTAGCTAGAGTTAGACTCACCAGGATTACTTGCATGGAAGAGACAAATAACTACTAATTTGTACAGGCAAATATCCTACAAACTGTCAGTTTAAGCTCCCACATGCATATCATAGACTACAGAAATCTTGCAGCATGATTAGTAGCAAATAAAATTAAATACCAACCAAATATTCATAATTATTAGAATGGGTGTTTAAATTGTATTGTATCTATATGACACACTACACAGTTTTCAATCAATATTTTAAAATTTTTATTTTTTTCCCGTTTCACTCTGTCTCCAGAAATTTAGACTGCTTAATGTTACTTAATTCCACAAGTCATTGAAGCTCTGTTAAACAGTTTTCAGTAATTTTTTTCTCTGCTCTTCAGATTGTATACTTCCCATTGATCTGTCTTCAAATTGACAAACGCTTACTTCTGTCGTCTTCAATCTCCTATTAAAGCCATTCAGAAGAGTGTTTATTTTGGATATTTTATTTTTTAATTCTAAGAAATTTTATTATCTTTTAAAAAAACATTTTTTATTTCTCTGCAGAATTCCTCATCTATTCACATATTATGATCTTATTTTATCTTATATCATTGAACATATTTTTAATAGCTAATTAAGATGGATTTTCTGTAAAATCTAACATTGTATCCTATATTCTGAGGTTAGTTCTGTTGGCTATTTTTGGAATACAGAGTCATATTTTTTTCTTGGCTTTCCCCTCCTTCCCTCCCTCCCTCCCTCCCTCCCTTCCTTCCTTCTTCCTTCTCTTGCTCCCTCCCTCCCTTCCTTCTTCCTTCTCTATCTCCCTCCTTCCGCCTCTTTCCTTTCTCTTTTTTTCTTTCTTCATTTGTCTTTTGTCTTTTGCATATATAGAAAATATTTTAATATCTTTATTTACATACAATTCACATACCATAAAATTCACCTATGTAACGTGTAGAATTAAATGGTTTTTAGTATATTCACAGACATGTATACCATCACCACAGTCAAATTGAGAAGATTTTTATCAGCCTAGAAGAAACCCCATATGCCTTAACCATCACACTTCTAATCCTCTATGCTTCTCCAGACCCTAAGCAACCACTGATCTAATTTCATCTCTATAAATTTTCTATTCTGGACATTTTATATAAATAGAATTATACAATATGTGATTTTTGTGACTGTTTTCTTCACATTTATTCCTTCTTATGTCAAATAATATTCCACTGTATGAAGTTGTCATATTTTGTTTATTCATTCATCAGTTTATGGGCATTTGAGTTGTTTAGTTTTAGTTGCATTTAAGGTTTTATTTTATTTCCTAATATCTATTAAGTTTATTGTTTTATGCCTTCTTGATAATTTCACTTTCTGAAGCCTTTGAGGTGTCACACTACACTTGCTTATTTATTCTGGCTCTCAGTTTCAGTGCATTATTTCCTTTTTGTTTTTCCCTTGGTGATTTTAGACCTATGTCTTGGAATCATTTTAGGTCTGGTTTAAAATTGTATTCCACTATAAAACGATTTTATTGATTTTATTTTTCTCTCCCAGTTTCCTGGTGGCATTATCGATCACAGCCTATGTTAAAGTAAATTTTAAAGTTAAGATTTTTTGCAAAAATAAAAAAAAAATGATGAAAAGTGAATTAAGAGAGTATCCCTGTAAGCCAAGGAACATCGAGTCATCTCAAGTTGGTGGATAATAAATGACAAAAATACATAAAATTATGAGGAAAATGTTTTGTGGCAGCTCAATAATTCACTTAAAAATACATTTTACACTTTGGGAGGCAGAGGCAGGTGGATCACCAGGTCAGGAGATAGAGACCATCCTGGCTAACACGGTGAAACCCCGTCTATACTAAAAATACAAAAAATTAGCCGGGCGTGGTGGCCGGCGCCTTTTGTAGTCCCAGATACTCGGGAGGCTGAGGCAGGAGAATGGCCTGAACCTGGGAGGTGGAGCTTGCAGTGAGCCGAGATCGCGCCGCTGCTGCACTCCAGCCTGGGCGACAGAGTGAAACTCCCGTCTAACAACAACAACAACAACAAAAATATATATATATATTATAAGAATATATATATGTATATATTTAAATATATCATCTGGATTTTCAAAAATACTATACGTGAAAGGTATAAAAGTTTTCTCTCCACTATATTGTAGAATATGTTGTCATAATAAATATGTCTAAGCTTAGAAAATCTTTCATTTTAAATCTTCACAGTTTAAAAACTTACATATTTATAAACTATAGTAAGTATAATAAAGACACTTCTAATGAAGTATTTTAGACATATGTTCTAATTAGCTTAGGGTTAATTGGCTAATTATTTGTCATAAATTTTATATTCGTGAAATGAATGCATATATCAGAATGCATTAACCTTAAACTTGGTTTTCACTTTATTTAAGATGATACGTATTTGTTAACTAATAATCCATACTTTCTTCTTACTTTCTTTCTCATATTTTTCTTATATTCTTTCTGATAACTATCATTCTGTTATTGCTATTACTGAAATTGGAAAAAACCAAGATGAAAAATTTCAATTATTTGGACATATCAGATATATGATATTTTTCTAATATAAAGTAATGACAAATATATGTTAGTTCAAACATTAATTAATTACAGTTTGGCACAAAAATTAAAAGATGTCCTTTATTAATGAATGTGTTACTGCTTATCTCTTCTGGATTTGGGAGCATCCAAGTTTTCTGTTTAGTATATTGGTAAACAGCAAAAAAGTGAAAAGGCAAGTTTGGCAGAAACTAATTTGAAACTAATTTGAAAAGGTTAGATTTTTCAGTGATGAAACTGCCCAGATTTTTTTTTTTTTTGCTTTTACTGTCAAATTATGTTTCTAATGATAATTAGAAAAGTATAATTTTTATAGATTGTATTTGTATATGAATAAGCTTTCTAAGCACACCAAAAATATAGAAAATAAAATTCTGATAAAAATTGGCACATGTAATTGATTGCCTAACTCTGTATATTGAGAGTGTTACATTTAATTTCAATGGGAGTTTAAACCAAATTTTTAAATATTAATGTAACTATCACTATGAAAGCATGCATTTGAATAAAAACAACTGAGCGGTATCAGAATTTGCGTAAGTCCCTAACGTATTAGTAAAATAAAGGGAAATACTGTAACTTAAATGCCACAGTAAGAATTTTTTAATCAAGTTGTCACATATTACCAGAAAGTATTAGTATGGCCCGGCTTCATTCTCAAGATAATTTGTAGGCTCCTCAGATATCAAAAGATTTTGAATAAGGTTAAAATAACAAAAATGGATCTTTTGTTTTGTCAGCATGCACATATCCCTGAGACGTTTTACATATAATTTCAGAAAGCAGAATAGTGAAGAAAGACAGGAAGTTTGTTATCCAGAACATCCATTTTGATCTTTTTTTTTTTTTTTTTTTTTGAGACAGAGTCTCACTCTGGAGTGCAGTGGCCCGATCTTGGCTCACTGCAACCTCCACCTCCCAGGTACAAGTGATTCTTCTGCCTCAGCCTCCCGAGTAGCTGGGATTACAGGCACATGCCACCACGCCAGGCTAATTTTTTATTAGTAGTAGAGATGGGGTTTTGCCATGTTGGTTAGGCTGGTCTCGAACTCCTGACCTTAGGTGATCTGCTTGCCTTGGCCTCCCAAAGTGTTGGATTACAGGCGTGAGCCACTGTGCCCAGCCTTTATCTAGTCTTATTAAGGAGATTCCTGTTCTCCGTTAATCAACAGTGAGTTGAACTGGACTAGGTGGCTACTAGAAGTTAAGAGTAGTCAAAGTTGCATCTGTAAGTAGTTAACTGCAAATATAGGAAAAAGATGAGAAAAAATAAATAACTGTACTAAATTGATAATAACAAACAAAATCTGCCTCAAATATTAATTAAATTAAGTTGTTACTCAAACACTCACTGACAAGGTAGGTTTTAGTTTTTATGTTTACTGATAATTGTGTGGTTTTGTATGTAGCACACTAAGGAAAGTTTCACTGATTCACTATGACTCTTTAACGTAATTATTAGTCACAGTGAACCATTTAAAGATACTGGGCACTAAATAGTTCCTTACGTAATATAGGCTATAAATATATGTTAAAAAATTAAAAATATGAAAGTTGAATTATTAATAACAAGACTGAACAAATGTACAAGTAATTAATATACCAAGTTAATAAATAAGATTGAAGCAGCTTTTGCATATTATATTTCTTGAAGTTTTTGTAATTTTTATAACTCTGTGGCTGGAACTTATTAATTATTTGTTTATAGTTAAAGAAATTGAGACTCAGAGAATAAAGGAGATTTTACTTAAAGGTGTTTAATATTACTGAACCTCTTTTGAAGATGGAGTGATTTGGAAATAATGTGTAAAAACCAAACCAGGGAACTTACTTGTATAGAAATATATCTTACAGTCAAGCCATAAGGTGAATTTTAGAGACATCTAGGCATTTCCAAAATACAGATTCAACTTGTTAAATTTCTGAACATACCAAATTACCAAAAAAAGAAAAAAAAATCAATTCATGCTGCTGATATCATCTGTGCTTCTCAAACTCAGAGTAGAAAAATATCAACCAGTGATACATGCTGAACATTTCTCATAAATCCTAGACCATTTTTCATGGGTTTAAAGTTAAACACTGACCTGGCCTAATCCTCTTAGTTACTGAACTCAAAGAGATTATGACTCAAGGAAGCCTTGCTCCACACAGACATCAAAAAAAAAAAAAAAAAAAAAGAAAAGAAAAGAAAAAAAAGCCACTGAAGAAAGCTCGAATTTAGTTACTTATCATCATCAGATTGAGGTCCAATCCTTTTCTTTGTCAGAGACAATAGGAAGGTGACTAAATTTGAACTCACTTTTAGAGTGATATATAGCAGAGATGTTAAATACCATTAAAATATCCCTCAACAAAGCCATAGTACAACTAAAACTTTGGATCCAAAAGGAAAGTGTTATTATGTTTTTATCAAAGCCTACATTCAACTTTATGAGGCAAATGGGTCATCAGTAGACTAAAATTGCCTGAGGCATTGGAAACTATTTTTGTCCAATAAAATAAAGGTATACATATAATAACTAATACATTGAAATTTAATAAAAATGAACTGTTTCTTTATTATATATATAGAAAAAACCTTAAATATTGTATGGAAACAGCACCAGAAATAATATGAGAAACAGATTTTGTGAAGAACAGAATTGCCTTTTAAGACTTGATAGTTTGTGACAGTGATAAAAACATATGACTTAATAATTTTGGGTCTTTATACATCAGGCACTGTGTAACATTATCTCATGTGGTAGGAATTTTCCCATATGTTAGATAATATTGCCATGCCGCATTTATAAATGAGTTAAATTAGGCTCATACCTTAAAAATTATTTAGGTACTCAGAGTGTATGACAGAGATTAGGCTACAGCCAGGTCTTATCAAGCATCTGAACTCTTGATTATGACACTGCAGTAAAATTCCTTACAGGCAAAGAGCATATTCATTATTATTTGTTTCAATTCTATTAACTCTAAAAATTAATATGCGTAACATTATTTTTTCCTAGAAATTATCAATATTTTTCTAATTAATCTTAAGAATTTATAAAACAATCAATATGAGAGAAACTATGAGTTTACAGGGGGGAAAATCAACTAATTGACCAGAGACAAAGGGTACAAAAAATACAGAATCCCAGGGCAAATTATTACATAATATTTAAATAATTAACTTTACACTAATAAAACATATACACAAATAAATTTGTTGCATATTTGGGGATTTGAAATACTAAAAATAAGTACCACTAGTATTATGTTGCATTGTTGTCATATTTGTCATTAATAAGTAATTCATGTTGTACTTACAAAGGCACAAACTTCATAAGATTTTACTAACAAAAACATAAGTAGCAGGCCGGGCGAGGTGGCTCACACCTGTAATCCCAGCACTTTGGGAGGCCGAGGCAGGTGGATCATCTGAGGTCAGGAATTTGAGACCAGCCTGGCCAACATGGTGAAACCCTGTCTCTACTACAAATACAAAAAAATTAGCTGGGAGCAGTGGTACGCACCTGTAATCCCAGCTACTTGGGAGACTGAGGCAGGAGAATCACTTGAACCCAGGAGGCAGAGGTTGCAGTGAGCCTACATTGCGCCATTGCACTCCAGCCTGGGTGACAGAACGAGACTCTGTCTCAAAAAAAAGCAAAGCAAAACAAAACAAAAACAAACAAACAAAATAAATAGAGATTAATGTTAATGAAGTTTGAGGTTCCTTCTTCCTAAATAATCAGAAAATAAATTATAATTACATTTCCATATTAGATTTTGGAGATTTATGTACAAATTAACTGGTTTTTATTTTAATCTTCTAAAACATGTTATTCAAAATAATTATAAAAGGTAATAAGAACAAAATTCAGAGAAGAAAATTCAAAAATAAAATTATAAATCAGCAAAGTAAGATGAGAAAGAAGATTAAAAAGTGAATGAAATACATATAGGACTTATATTCTATTGTCATGAAACTAATAATTCTTTTTATTTTTTTCAACTTTTAGGTTCATGGGTACATATGCAGGTTTGTTACATGGGTAAATTTTGTGTCACTGGGGATTGGTGTATGAATGATCCTATCACCCAGATAGTGAGCATAGCTCCAAATAGTTTTTCAACTCTACTGCCCTCCTATCCTTCTCCCAGTGCCTATTGTTCTCACCTTTATGTTATTAAATATTTAGTGTTTACATCCCACTTATAAGTGAGAACATGCAGTATTTGGTTTTCTGATCCTGCATTAATTGGCTCCATCCACGTTGCTGCAAAGGACAGAGCTTTGTTCCTTTCCATGACTGTGTAGTATTCCATGGTGTATATGTACCACATTTTCTTTATCCAATCCACCACTGATGAGCATTTAAGTTGATTCCATATCTTCACCATTGTAAATAGTGCTGTGATTAACATATGAGTATATGTGTGTCTTTGGTAGAACAATTTATCTCTGAGCATATACACAGTAATGGCATTGCTGGATCAAATGGCAATTCTGTTTTAAGTTCTTTGAGAGGTCTCCAAACTGCTTTCCCCAAGGATTGAACAAATTTGCATTCTCACCATTGTATAAGTGTTCCCTTATTTCTAGAACCTTGCCAACATGTATTATTTTTTGACTTTTTAATAATAGACTTTCTGACCTGTATGAGATGATATCTCATTTTGGTTTTGATTTGCATTTCTCTGATCATTAGTGATATTGAGCATTTTTTCATATATTTGTTAGCCACATGTATGTCTTCTAAGGGGAAGTGTCTGTTCATGTCCTTTGCCAATTTTGTAATGAATTTATCTGATTTTTGCTTATTAAATTGTTTAAGTTTCTTATGGATTCTGAATATTAGACCTTTGTCAGATGCATTTTTTGCTAATATTTTCCCCCATTTCATAGGTTGTCTATTTACTTTGTTGATAGTTTCTTTTGCTATGCAGAAGTTTTTTAGTTAAGTCTAACATGTCAATTTTTATGTTTGTTGCAATTGCTTCTGGGGACTTAGTCTTAAATTCTTTGCCAAGGCTGATGTCCAGAATGGTATTTATTAGATTTTCTTCTAGGATTTTTATAGTTTTAGGTCTTACATTTAGCCTTTATTTCATCTTGAGTTAATTTTTTTGTATGGTGAAAGATAGGGGTCTAGTATTATTTTTCTATATATGGCTGGCCTGTTATTACAGCACCATTTATTGAATAGGGAGTTCTCTCCTCATTGCTTGTTTTTGTTGATTTTGTTGAAGGTCATATGGCTGTAGGTGTGCAGCTTTATTTCTGGGTTCTCTATCCTGTTGCATTGGTTTATGTGTCTACTCTTCTACCAGTACCATGCTCTTTTGGTTACTATAGCTTTGTAGTATAGTTTGAAGTCAGGTAATGTGATGACTTCAGCTTTATTCTTTTTGCTTAGAATTGCTATGGCTGTTTCAGTTCCTTTTTGGTTCCATATCAATTTCAGATTTTTTTTTTTGGTAATTCTGTGAAAAAAGTCATTGGTAGTTTGATAGAAATATCATTGAATTTGTAAATTGCTTTGGGCAGTATGGCCATTTTAACAATATTAATTATTTCTATCCATGAGCACATAATATTTTTCCATGAGTTTTTGTCATCTCTGATTTCTTTCAGGCGTGTTTCATAATTCTCATTGTAGAGATCTTTCACCTCCTTGGTTATCTGTATTTTTAGGAATTTTATTCTTTCTGTGGCTATTGCAAATGGTATTGGGTTCTTGATTTGGCTTTAAGCTTGAACATTACTGGTGTGTAAAATGCTACTAATTTTTGCCCAACGATTTTGTATCCTGAAATTTACTGAAGTTTATTAGAATCTAGGAGCCTTTTGGCACAGTCTCTAGGGTATTCTAAGTTTAGAATCATATAATCCATAGAGACAGATAACTTGACTTTCTCTCTTTCTATTTGGATGGTTTTTCTTTCTTCCTCTTGCCTGATTGCTCTGGCTAGGACTTCCAGTACTATGTTGAATACGAATGGTGAGAAGAGACATCTTTGCCTTGTTCAAGTTCTTAATGGAAATGTTCTACATTTTCCCATTCAGCATGATGTCAGCTATGGGTTTGCCATAGGTGGCTCTTGTTATTTTGAGGTGTGTTCTTTCAACATCTAATTATTTGTTTAGGGTCTTTAACATACAGGGATGTGGAATTTTATTGAAAGCCCTATCATCACTTATTGAGATGATCACCTGATTTTGTTTTTAATTTTGTTTAAGTGGTTAATCACATTTAGTGGTTTGTATCTGTTGAAGCAACCTTGCATTCCAAGAATACAGCCTACTTGATCATTATGTATTAACTATTTGATGTGCTGCTGGATTTGGTTGCTAATATTTTTGTGGAGGATTATTGGGTCTATATTCATTAGAGATATTGGACTAAAGTTTTCTTTTAATGTGTGTGTATGTGTTTGTCTGCCAGGAGCTGATATCAGAATCATGCTGGTTTTGTAAAATGAGTTAGGGCTGAGTCCTACTTTTCTGATTTTTTGGAAAAATTTCATTTGGATTGGTACCAGTTCTTCTTTGTATGTTTGGTAGAATTTGGCTGTGAATCTATGTGGCCAAGGGCTTTTTGTTGTTGTTGTTGTTGGTAGGTTTCTTATTACAGATTCAATTTTCTAACTCTTTATTGGCCTACTCATGGTTTGCACTTCTTCCTGATTCAATATCAGAAGTTGTATTCTGGGAATTTGTCCATTTCTTCTAGGTTTTCTAGTTTGTGTTCACGGAGGTGTTTGTAATATTCTCTGAGGATTTTTTTGTATTGCTCTAGGGTCAGTTTTACATCACTTTTGTGATTTTTCTTTTGTGCTTATTTGCATCTTCTCTTTTTTCTTTGTTAATCTAGCTAGTGATCTATCATGTTTATTCTTTTGAAGAACCAACTTTGGATTTCTGTAATCTTTTGTATAGATTTTTGCATCTCAATTTCATTCAGTCTTGCTCTAATTTTAGTTATTTTTTTTCTTCTGCTAGCTCTGGTGTTGGTTTCATTTCTTTAGTTCCTATAGGTGAGTGTTAGGTTGTTAATTTGAGACCTTTCTAACTTCTTGATGTAGGTGTTTTGTGCTACTAACTTTCCTCTTAACTATGCTTCAGCTAAGTCCCAAAGATTCTGGTATGTTGTGTCTCTGTTTTCATTAGAAACTAATAATTCTGAAAGTCAAATAGAACAGAATATACATGACAAAATTCAAATTAGTCACAGAGAACAATTAGTCACAAGGAATCAGAATGAAGAATACAAACAGTAAAACATACTAAAAAATCTAATAAATATGGAGAAGCAAGAAAACCTAACAAATGTTTTGGGAAAAAAAGCTTTAAAAACAGAATAGAAAAAAATCAGAAACTAAAAATATTAATGACTTTTATAATGCAGAAATAATTGAATGTACTTTTCAATAGGAAAGTTGGAGAAGGGGGTGCTAATCTGAACTATATGTGAAACCATGTTCTTGATTTTGTTGAACTTCTTCAATCATCCATAAAAATTAAGAAACGTAACCTTTTGTGTTTAAGTTAACTCAGGAAAGACAGCTTCCATGCCTCTGTCCTGGAGAGATGGAAACATTTTTAAGATAAATTGTTGCATCTGATACTTTCATAATATCCAAAATTGAAACTAAACAACTACCTGTAATATGTAAACCTAATTTTCTGTTTCTTTTAGAAAAAAGAAGGATTATGAGGCCACAAATATTTTGACTGATAGAAAATTAATTTGTAATCATTAGGTCAAAAATGCATCTAGAAGATAAAATGTCATTGAAATATTAAATTTAACACATGTTTATAAGAAATCTGAAAAATATACAGATGTAGTTTAAAAACTTAATTCCATCTTAACATTTATAGCAGTTACTCTTCATGCCTATAAACAGACTGTTTAGAAAATAGTTGTGTTGGCCAGGCACAGTGACTCACGCCTGTAATCCCAGCACTTAACAGAGGCTGAGGCACTTAGGGAGGCTGAAGCAGGAGGATCACCTGTGGTCAGGAGTCTGACACCAGCCTGGCCAACATGGCAAAACCCTGTCTCCCCTAAAAAAATACAAAAATTAACCAAGGGTGGTGGTGCGTGCCTGTAATCCCAGCTACTTGGGAGGCTGAGGCACAAGAACTGCTTGAACCCAGGAGGTGGAGGTTGCAGTGAGTCGAGATTGAGCCACTGCACTCCAGCCTGGGCGACAGAATGAGACTCTGTTTCAAAAAAAAAAAAAAAAAAAGTTGTGTTTTTGAATAAATAGCCACTCAAAATTAAGGGCTATTTTGTTTTATGTTTGTATGATTTCATATAGGATTCTATTAAATCATTTTTAATAAAAATAAAATATAAAAAATTCTATAAAATAAATCCATTACACTGAAATGTCTAATACTTAAATGTTTATCTGTCCCCAAATTATTGAACACATTTTTCAAATATTTAATGCAAGAAAGCCCCCTAAAACACTTAAGTATAAAAGCAGCAAAAGACCACAGCAAGAATAATTTAGATTATCTTCATGTATCATAAACTTGGGTTTGCGTATGAACACCAGGAGCTATAGACCATAGTAAGTCTTATTATAGATAATATAGTCAACTCAACCATGTGTATGATGCTTGGTTATGCAGCAAATATACTGAGCTCTTTAAAACTACAGATAGCCATTAACAGTTTTCTGACATAATCCTTTGGCTGAAATGCCAAGTAGCTGCTTTATATAAGTGTAAATTAAATGACTATCCACTCTAGGTTGGATACTCCAAGGAGAAAGGATGCAACGGTTTTATCATCCTTCTTTATAAACATTGTTTCACCATTGGTATCTGTTGTGCAATCATTTATTCCATTAATGATTCCACACGTTTTCATCAGAGCCAATTGGATGAATAACTACTGTTTAAACAAGGTCATTCTCCCATTACTGAGAGTCTTAGCCTCATTAATGATAATAGGAGGGAGGGCTGCTGGCCCTGCATCAGCATGAAATAGGCTTAGTGGGAAACATTCAAAGATCAAGAATAAAATTATAGCTCTTTAAAAGTTATTATTAAAGAATTCATTCTCTCTAGGAGGCAAAAGTCAAAGCAATTAATTGGCTGATTTGGGGGGGATATAAAAATATACAGATTCACTGGACGTTACCACATTCAAAGGTTCAAAATGAATAGCAAGGCTCTTTTATTTTTATTGCCATCTCTGTGATAAAGGCAAAAGAGGAAATTCTTTTTTTTCTCCATCTCCCAACCCTATTTATGTTTTTGCTTTTTAATTCAATGTCATATATTTTGAGCCTTAAGATACTAGTAAACTCCTGTGAGCTTTGTTTCTGGCCTGAGGCTCTTCTATGTAAGTGTTGTTTTTATTTTTAAGTCTAGATGTGAATTGAGCAGACACAGATGGGGGTTAATGGATTGTGAGTCCTCATTGTGTGAAAGGAAAAGCTTCTTTTAATAAGGTGCCTATTAAACATTTGCCAGTTGCTGCATTTTTATGATAATTTAATCTGGCTGAATGTTAATTTTACCTTAGAAGTTTAAAGCATTGATTCTCAAACAAATATACTGGGATCACCTGGTGTGCTTGTTAATAATCTATACTTATAGGCCTCAAACTTTAATTTTGAATTACTAGGACATGGACCAGAAATCTAAAATCTAAAATCTATTCAGTGAAGAACTACATTTTAAGAAACAAGGGTATAAACTTGTAGTTGTTAATCTTTCATTACATAGACTGAAACAAATAATGACTAATAGATTTAAGAGCCAATTTTATTACCATTCTGTTTTTCCTCATTTCTCCAAAATATCTTTTTAAAAATATTTATTATTTTTATTTTATTTTTGTATCAAAATATTACATGCATGCCATACATATGTACCACTATTATGTATCCATAAACATAAATATAAAACATTTTTTCTGATGACATATTTGACAACAAAAGACAGGTATTACTAAACTTAGCTAGTTTTTCCTAGGAAGCAATCAGTGTTTATGACAATCACCAAGTTTTAATAAACTTGTGAGTAACAGTTATGAAAGAAATGATTAAATATTTACAGGTTTTGCCTCAATCCATAAAAAAGTTGAGCCTCTAGCAATCTTTTTTTTTGAGACAGAGTCTCGCTCTGTCGCCCAGGCTGGAGTGCAGTGGCGCAATCTCAGCTCATGGCAAGCTCCGCCTGCCGGGTTCATTCCATTCTCCTGCCTCAGCCTCCCGAGTAGCTGGGACTACAGGCGCCCACCACCACGCCAGGCTAATTTTTTGTATTTTTAGTAGAGATGGGGTTTCACCGTGTTAGCCAGGATGGTCTCGATCTCCTGACCTCCTGATCCGCCCGCCTCGGCCTCCCAAAGTGCTGAGATTACAGGCGTGAGCCACCGTGCCTGGCCCAATCTTTGTTTTTTAATATAAGAAGTGAATTTGAGTTTCTGATTATCTAGATATTCATTTACCTTTCCTATTTTATGCATACATGGATAGCTTATTCTTGTACATTTGAATAATGACTAGTAATTTCTGATAATTAGAAAAGTTTTAGGCCAGCTCGTAATACCAGCCCTATCATTTACCAGCTGTGTAATAGTCTATATGTGAAGTTACTTTTCTAACTAGCAATTCTTTTAAATGAAATGAAGCTGATTATATGCTTTGTTATAATATTGCTGTCAGTATAACTGAGATATTGTATGTAAAGCATTTTACACTGTTAAGGGCATATGGAAAATAAACAACTAGAATTAATATCATTGTCATTTTCCTAATTATCATTATGAAATATAATTTCATGATTATAATGAGTATTGTTTATAATACACATTACTTTAAAAAACTCTTAGCATATTTCTCTTTTTATAATGAGCTGACATTGGCTTCTATTTTACTGAATGATCTATCTTTGACAGAAAGAGTATGTGACCTGCTTTTAGGTACAGACAAATAAAGGAATGGTAAATTAATGCATAAGTCAATGACATTCTTACATGATAGTTAAGTAAATTCAAGACAAAAACTATTTTGTAGTGTTAGGGTTGTCTTTATAGTAAATTTGAAAATGACTGTGAAAACAAGGAAGTCTATATTTGTACTAATTAAGATGGAGCATGATAGAGGCACAGCAGGAATGTCAGAGAATATGATTCACAGAGCAATAAAATGCTGTTTGGTGGAATGTTCTCTTCCTGTTACAATGGTACCTGTTAAGATCACACAGCTCGGAGGATGTCAGAATGTGTAGCCAAAAAGCACAGCTTGCCTTAGAGTGATATTTGCAGCAATTTGAAAAGAAAATTAAAAGTGAAGTAGAAATTACTGAAAACGAGAGGATTCAACATATTCATATTGGGAAAGATTAAAAACAAAAAGAATAACACTGAAAAGTCCATTAACTAGAAGTGGGATATTCTATTCGTCAACACAAATTAAAGTAAAAACATAATCAATTTAAGAGATGTTCATGTTAAAACTTGCCTTTTCGATTTTCTTTCTAGATCTTCTGGCTAATACAAGCACTCAGATATATCCATGAAATTTCTGGCTTTCTCTCTCTTTTCTAATATCATTAGGAACACATGAACTTCTACATATTCAATGTGCTACAATCAACTGCAGTTACTGTTTTTAGATATCTTAGCCAGTTAGAAACCTAACAATGTATTATTGATTCATTGTATACCCTAAACAGAAAATTTAGCAGTTTCTCCAAGGAGGCCTGGTTACTTCTCTTGGAACAAAGTATCTTTAAGTGTTAGACAATAACAGCAGTTTTGCAAAGAGCAATTAAAAGAGCCAATATCATGAAGAAGGAGTCTGTCACTGAGTAGTTAATCCTAGGGCCGTGTTAAGTCTCCTGAGAACAGCTATCTGCTCTTTTCTCCTATTCCAGAGACACAGCAGCATTTTAAGTGAGAGATATGACTGGACAAGAGGTTCTCAGAGACTAATGCCCAAAAAATATCTCCTAGAGAGGATCTTGAACATTTTAAGCCTGTACGTCTGGGTAGGGGTCTGATAATTAAAACTTCAAGTGCCCTCAGGTGCCAAGTTGACATACTGAGAAAAATATTCAGGAATATGTTTTGTATGTTGGTAATATCCAGGCAGCTCATACCCTAACAGACTCTGTTCTTCTGTCTCTTCTCAAGCCTATTAAGGTCACAATTCTTCATGGTCCATTCCCTGTATCTCCTCATGAATGCTGGCTATCACAGTTTCTGACAGCCATCTGCCCTCATTTTACCATCTATTCTAGATAATCTAAGCTCCAAGAATCCCAGAGTGTTTATTTATAAATGTTACATTTGAGGGCCATGGGAATATGTGAGAGATGGGGTTGGGAAGAGTGTTGGTAAATAAAAAGAAAGAGGAGAGTCGTTAAATGTTTTGAGTACTAATTTTCCAGAAAATGTGTTAAGATTTATACATAGTTTAAACCTAAGTGCAAATCTTCGGAGATTGTCCCTATGATTAATTATATTTATAATAACATTAATATTTTGTGTTAATTACACAATAATTAATTATTGTGTCTACTGTATTATACATTATATAATATATAATGTTATATAATATATTATAGTGCAGTATATTTATCTCATATTTTATAATATGCTAAAAATAAATATTTGAGGCTTAGATTGATGAAGTAATTTTTATAGGATACCAACCTAAGATGTGAAGAACAGAGATTTGAAAGCAGTGTAGTCTGATCCCAGAATGATCTTATAAAAAGTACAAGAATCTGAAGAGAATTCATGAAGAAAAAAAAAAAAGAAGAAGAAATGAAATGCTACCTGATTCTAAGGAGACAGACTTTAGTCCCTACAACAGAAAAATTGGTTTGACTACAGCATAGAGGATAAAATTGAAAAAGTATTACGGCAAAAAAGACTGTGGCTTAAACATTAAAACAATAATTTTTTTTTTTGGAGACGTAGTCTTGCTCTGTTGCCCAGGCTGGAGAGCAGTGGTGTGATCTCGGCTCACTGCAAGCTCCACCTCCTGGGTTCACGCCATTCTCCTGCCTCATCCTCCCGGGTAGCTGGGACTACAGGCACCTGCCACCACGCCCGGCTAAATTTTTTTTTTTTTTTTTTTTTTTTTTTAGTAGAGACGGGGTTTCACCGTGTTAGCCAGGATGGTCTCGATCTCCTGATCTCCTGATCCGCCTGCCTCGGCCTCCCAAAGTGCTGGGATTACAGGCGTCAGCCACTGCGCCCGGCCTAAAATAATAAATTTTTAATCCTTATACCTACGAATGTGGTGCCGGACATCTAAACTACTAATATTCTTTTAATATTTTACCTATACTCTACTTATGTATTTTGTAATTCGTTGCAGCCCTACCAAAACCTTTACAACCAGGTGTCGTTCATGCTGTGTGAAGGAATTTTACTTTTGTACAAAAGAAAACATCAGGCAAACACAAAGCATATCCAACTGCTGCTAAGTTCCTTCGATGAAGCCAGATAATTCTAACACTAGTGTGGGAATGCTTTATAATCTAGCTCAGAAGCATAAAAAGTAGAGGACTGGGGCGGTGGCTCACATCTGTAATCCCAGCACTTTGGGAAGCCCAGAGGGGTGGATCACCTGATGTCAGGAGTTAGAGACCAGCCTGGCCAACATGGCAAAACCCTGTCTCTACTGAAAATACAAAAATTAGCCAGGCGTGGTGGCACGCACCTGTAATCCAAGCTACTCAGGAGGCTGAGGCAGGAGAATCGCTTGAACCCAGTAGGTTGGGGTTGCAGTGAGCCAAGATCACGTCACTGCATTCCATCCTGGGCAACACAGTGAGACTCTGTCTCAAAAATAAATAAATAAAAAAAATAAAGAAAGAAGAAGAAGCATAGTATAGAAAATACTTTCAGAACTTCCCTCTCAATTTTCTGCCAAATCCGGAACCCAGGAAGCCCGGCCTTAATAAGCATTACTTGATGTATTCCTCTTTTTCAAAGCCAGCTATTTTCAACTCAGTAAAACACAAGGCAGAAGATGTTTGCATACAATAAGTGATTTCTTTAATTGAATCTTTTGTTTTCTAACTATATTGAAGTTTAATTTTACATAAAATGAATTATTAACATTAACCAACTTAAGTTTTACAAAATTTATTTGGATTTTTTCTGGATTCTCTAGCAACCAAGGTTAAACATTATTAAATTATTCTTTCTATCCTACCCATATTGTATCATATTATTTAGTTGTGCAATGCAATTGTTGTTGGAAACTGAGAACCAATTGAAGACAGTGATAGTCAACTGAATTGTTTACCTTTTTTCTAATCAAGGTCTGTTGGTTAAGTAAGATAATGATTCTTTGTGTCTGATGAAAGACATAATATAAACAAAATTAAAAGTAAGACAAAGAGTTTGAATATTGTAAGTGCTATTATATTAAAATGTCAATAAATGGAATTACAATCTAAATATAAAACTCTTTCCTTATGAAGACTGCTACTGATGATATTAAGTCAAACTACTACTAATAGAAACATAATAGCACAGTAGAGATGATAATAAAATATAACGAGTGCAGCTTCAGTTACAATTTCTCACCATAGACTGAGCATGCCAGGATCTCATTCATACTCATTGTATAAAACAGGCTTTTTACAAGACAATATATTTGCTCTGTTCTCCTTTTCTTTTTTTTTAAATTATTATTATTATTATTATACTTTAAGTTTTAGGGTACATGTGCACAATGTGCAGGTTAGTTACATATGTATACATGTGCCATGCTGGTGTGCTGCACCCATTAACTGGTCATTTAGCATTAGGTATATCTCCTAATGCTATCCCTCACCCCTTCCCCCACCCCACAACAGTCCCCAGAGTGTGATGTTCCCCTTCCTGTGTCCATGTGTTCTCATTGTTCGATTCCTACCTATGAGTGAGAACATGTGGTGTTTCGTTTTTTGTCCTTGAGACAGTTTGCTGAGAATGATGAATTCCAATTTCATCCATGTCCCTACAAAGGACATGAACTCATCATTTTTTATGGCTGCATAGTATTCCATGGTGTATATGTGCCACATTTTCTTAATCCAGTCTATCATTGTTGGACATTTGGATTGGTTCCAAGTCTTTGCTATTGTGAATAGTGCCACAATAAACATACGTGTGCATGTGTCTTTATAGCAGCATGATTTATAGTCCTTTGGGTACATACCCAGTAATGGGATGGCTGGGTCAAATCGTATTTCTAGTTCTAGATCCCTGAGGAATCGCCACACTGACTTCCACAATGGTTGAACTAGTTTACAGTCCCACCAACAGTGTAAAAGTGTTCCTATTTCTCCACATCCTCTCCAGCACCTGTTGTTTCCTGACTTTTTAATGATTGCCATTCTAACTGGTGTGAGATGGTATCTCATTGTGGTTTTGATTTGCATTTCTCTGATGGCCAGTGATGATGAGCATTTTTTCATGTGTTTTTTGGCTGCATAAATGTCTTCTTTTGAGAAGTGTCTGTCCATGTCCTTTGCCCACTTTTTGATGGGGTTGTTTTTTTCTTGTAAATTTGTTTGAGTTCATTGTAGATTCTGGACATTAGCCCTTTGTCAGATGAGTAGGTTGCGAAAATTTCCTCCCATTTTGTAGGTTGCCTGTTCACTCTGATGGTAGTTTCTTTTGCTGTGCAGAAGCTCTTTAGTTTAATTAGATCCCATTTGTCAATTTTGGCTTTTGTTGCCATTGCTTTTGGTGTTTTAGACAGGAAGTCCTTGCCCATGCCTATGTCCTGAATGGTAATGCCTAGGTTTTCTTCTAGGGTTTTTACGGTTTTAGGTCTAATGTTTAAGTCTTTAATCCATCTTGAATTAATTTTTGTATAAGGTGTAAGGAAGGGATCCACTTTCAGCTTTCTACATATGGCTAGCCAGTTTTCCCAGCACCATTTATTAAATAGGGAATCCTTTCCCCATTGCTTGTTTTTGTCAGGTTTGTCAAAGATCAGATAGTTGTAGATATGCGGCATTATTTATGAGGGCTCTGTTCTGTTCCATTGATCTATATCTCTGTTTTGGTACCAGTACCATGCTGTTTTGGTTACTGTAGCCTTGTAGTATAGTTTGAAGTCAGGTAGTGTCATGCCTCCAGCTTTGTTCTTTTGGCTTAGGATTGACTTGGTGATGCGAGCTCTTTTTTGGTTCCATATGAACTTTAAAGTAGTTTTTTCCAATTCTGTGAAGAAAGTCATTGGTAGCTTGATGGGGATGGCATTGAATCTATAAATTACCTTGGGCAGTATGGCCATTTTCACGATATTGATTCTTCCTACCCATGAGCATGGAATGTTCTTCCATTTGTTTCTATGCTCTTTTATTTCATTGAGCAGTGGTTTGTAGTTCTCCTTGAAGAGGTCCTTCACGTCCCTTGTAAGTTGGATTCCTAGGTCTTTTATTCTCTTTGAAGCAACTGTGAATGGGAGTTCACTCATGATTTGGCTCTCTGTTTGTCTGTTATTGGTGTATAAGAATGCTTGTGATTTTTGTACATTGATTTTGTATCCTGAGACTTTGCTGAAGTTGCTTATCAGCTTAAGGAGATTTTGGGCTGAGACAATGGGGTTTTCTAGATATACAATCATGTCATCTGCAAACAGAGACAATTTGACTTCCTCTTTTCCTAATTGAATACCCTTTATTTCCTTCTCCTGCCTGATTGCCCTGGCCAGAACTTCCAACACTATGTTGAATAGGAGTGGTGAGAGAGGGCATCCCTGTCTCGTGCCACTCTTCAAAGGGAATGCTTCCAGTTTTTGCCCATTCAGGATGATATTGGCTGTGGGTTTGTCATAAATAGCTCTTATTATTTTGAGATACATCCCATCAATACCTAATTTATTGAGAGTTTTTAGCATGAAGGGTTGTTGTATTTTGTCGAAGGCCTTTTCTGCATCTATTGATATAATCATGTGGTTTTTGTCTTTGGTTCTGTTTAGATGCTGGATTACATTTATTGATTTGCATATATTGAACCAGCCTTGCATCCCAGGGATGAAGCCCACTTGATCATGGTGGATAAGCTTTTTGATGTGCTGCTGGATTCGTTTTGCCAGTATTTTATTGAGGATTTTTGCATCAATGTTCATCAAGGATATTGGTCTAAAATTCTCTTTTTTGGTTGTGTCTCTGCCTGGCTTTGGTGTCAGGATGATGCTGGCCTCATAAAATGAGTTAGGGAGGATTCCCTCTTTTTCTATTGATTGGAATAGTTTCAGAAGGAATGGTACCAGCTCCTCCTTGTACCTCTGGTAGAATTCGCTTGTGAATCCATCTGGTCCTGGACTCTTTTTGGTTGGTAGGCTATTGATTATTGCCACAATTTCAGATCCTGTTATTGGTCTATTCAGAGATTCAACTTCTTCTTGGTTTAGTCTTGGGGGAGTGTATGTGTCAAGGAATTTATCCTTTTCAAAAAATAATTCTTTCTGATAAAACTTCGAGTCTTCCTATGACTGTATGATACTACTAATCTCATGTGCATATTCCACTTTTCCTTCACAAATAACTCACCACTTTTTTTTCTCAAGTAACTCCACAACTCTACTAATTTGTAGAGTTTCCTTAAATTAAAAAAGATTTACTGTTAACACATACTTAGAAAACACCTGTGACTTAATTCACTAAAGTATAGCTTTATTATTAAGGTCAACTTGTAAATATTAGTAAAGAATTTAGTTTCCTTTGAAACTTTCTCAGGCAAATGAAAGCCGTATACAAACGTATGACATTTTTTCAGAGATTTTTTTCAGGCATTCATATTTCAGTGCCTATCTCCTGCTGAGATGTCTCCCCATAAAGTTATCATTTTCATGGTCCCAAACACTTCTTATCTTTAAAAAATATTGTGGGTACATAGTAGGTATATATTTACTGTGTACATGAGATATTTTGACACAGGCATACAGTGTGAAATAATCACATCATGGAGAATAGGGTATCCATCCCCTCAAGCATTTATCCTTTGTGATACAAATAATCCAAATACTCTTTTTTAGTTATTTTAAAATGTACAATTAAATTATTATTGACTATAGTCATCCTGTTGTTCTATCAAATAGTAGGTCTTATTCGTTCTTTAAATTACTTTTTTGTACCCATTAACAATCCCCATGTTTTCCTCAGTCCCCGACTACCCTTCTCAGCCTCTGGTAACCATCTTTCTACTCTCTATGTCCATGAATTCAATTGTTTTGATTTTTAGGTCTCACAGATAAGTGAGAAGATGCAATGTTAGTCCTTCTATGCCTGGCTTATTTCACTTAACATAGTGATCTCCAGTTCCATCCATGTTGTTGCAGATGACAGGATCTCATTCTTTTTTATGACTGAATAGTACTCCATTGTGTATATGTACAACATTTTCTTTATCCATTCAACTGTTGATGGATGCATAGGTTTCTTCCAAATCTTGGCTATTATGAATAATACTGCAGTATTCTTGATAGACATAGATGCAAAAATCCTGAATAAAATATTAGCAAATTGAATACAGTAGCACATGAAAAAGCAAATCCATCATGATCATCAAGGCTTTATCACTGAAATGCGAGGTTGGTTCAACATATGCAAATCTGTAAATGTGATTTATCACGTAAACAGAAATCAAAAATTCTACTATGAAGACACATGCACATGTATGTTTATTGCAGCACTATTTACAACAGCAAAGACTTGGAACAAACCCAAATGCCCATCAATGATAGACTGGATAAAGAAATTGTGTTACATATACACCATGGAATACTAGGCAGCCATAAAAAAGGATGAGTTCATGTCCTTTGCAGGGAGATGGATGAAGTTGGAAACCATCATTCTTGGCAAACTAACACAGGAACAGAAAACCAAACACCACATGTTCTCACTCCAAGTGGGAATTGAACAGTAAGAACACATGGATACAGGGAGATGAACATCACACACCAGGACCACAGGGAGTGGGGAACAAAGGGAGGGATAGCATTAGGACAAATATATAATGCATGTGGGACTTAAAACCTAGATGACAGATTGATGAGTGCAGCAAACCACTATGGCACATGTATACCTATCTAACGAACTTACACATTCTACACTTGTATCCCAGAACTTAAAGTATAATAATAATAATAATATAAAACCCCACGTGATAATCTCAATAGATGTGGAAAAGGCTTTTGATATAATTTAACATCCCTTTATGTTAAAAACCTTTGACAAATTAGGCATCAAAGGAACATACATCAAAATAATAAGAGCAATGTATGACAAACCCACATCCAAAATTATACTGAATGAGGAAAAGCTGGAAGCATTTCCCTTTGGGAATTGAAACAAGAAAAGGAGGCCCACTCTTACCGTTCCTAATCAACATAGTACTGGATGTACTAGCCAGAGCAATCAGGCAAGAGAAAGAAATAAAAAGCATCCAATAGAAAAACAGGAAGTCAAATTATCTCTGTTTGCAGATATGATGATTTTATACCTATTAAACCCCATAGTCTCTGCCCAAAAGCTCCTATATCTGATAAAGAAATTCAGCAAACTTTCAGGATACAAAATCAATGTACAAAAGCCAGTAGCATTTCTACATACCAATAACACCCAAACTGAGATCCAAATAAAAAATGCAATCCCATACACACACACAAAATACCAAGGGACACAGCTAACCAGGGAGGTAAAAGTTCTCAATGAGAATTAGAAAATGCTGCTGAAAGAAATCAGAGATGACACAAATGAGAAAACATTCCATTCTCATGGATAGGAAGAATCAACATAGTTAAAATGGCCATACTGCCCAAAGCAATTGCAGATTCAATGCTATTCCTATCAAACTACCTATGACATTTTATAGACAATTAGAAAATACTATGCTAAAATTCATATGGAACCAAAAAACGCCCAAATAGACAAAGCAACCCCAAGCAAAAAGAACAAAATTGAAGGCATCACATTACCGGACTTCAAACTATACTGCAAGGCTACTGTAAACAAAGCAGCATGGTACTGGTACAAAAACAGACACAAACACAAATGGAATGGAATAGAGAGCCCAGAAATAATGCTATACACCTACTCACACAATCTGATTTTCAACAAAGTTGACAAAAACAAGCAATGGGGAAAGAACTCCTTATTCAATTTATGGTGCTGGGATAACTGGGTAGCCATATGCTGAAGATTTAAGCTGGACCCTTTCCTTATACCATACACAAAATAACTCAAGATGGATTAAAGACTTAAATGTAAAATATAAAACTATGAAAACCCTGGAAGATAACCTAGGAAAACCTATTCTGGACATAGGCCCTGGCAAAGATTTTTCATGATGAAGATGTCAAAAATAATTGCAACAAAAATAAAAATTGACCAATGAGATCTAATTAAGCTAAAGATCTTCTGTACAGCAAAAGAAACTTTCGAAAGAGCAAACAGACAACTTACAGAATGGGAGAGGATATTTGCAAACTCTGCATCCAACAAAGGATGTAATATACAAAAAATCTGTAAGGAACTTAAACCACAAGCAACAAACAAACAACCCTATTAGAAAGTGGACAAAGGACCTGAAAGACACTTTTCAAAAAAGATAAACACACTGCCAACAAGCATATGAAAAAATGGTCAACATCACTAATACTTAAAGAAATGCAAATCATAACCACAATGAGATAATATCTCACATTAGGTTACAATGGCTAATATTAAACATTCAAATAATAAAAGATGCTGGCAAGGCTGTAGAGAAAAGGTAATGCTTATACACTTTTGATGGGAATGCAAATTAGTTCAGCCACTGTGGAAAGCAATTGGGTGATTTCTCAAAGAACTTAAAACAGGACTATCATTCTAACCAGCAATCTCATTATTAGATGTACACCCAAAGGAGTATAAATCATTGTACCATAAAGACACGTACATGTATATGTTCACTGATGCATTATTCACAATAGCAAAGACACGTAATCAACCTAAATGACCATCAACATTAGACTGGATTAAAAAAATGTGGTACATATGCACCATGGAATACTATACAGCCATAAAAAAGAGCAAGACCATGTTCTTTGCAGCAACATGGATGGAGCTGGAGGCCATTATCCTAAGTGAACTAACTTAAGAACAGAAAACCAAATACCACCTGTTGTCACTTGTAAGTGGAAGCTGAACACATACAAACATGGAGCAGGGAACAGTAGACATCAGTGCCTATTTCAGGGTGGAGGTTGAGAGGAGGGTGAGGACTGTAGAAGTATTTATTAGATACTATGCTTATTACCTGGGTAATTAAATAATCTGTACACTTAACCCCTGCAACACTCATCTATATAACAAACTGGAGATGTACCCCTGATAAAAGTTAAAAAATGAAAGAAAATTGAAGGACAATATAATAATGATGATTTATTTCAGTATTTCATCATTATTCCAGAAAAGTTTATGATTCTACCATTTGTTTATTTTTAGTATTTTTTGTTTAGTTGGGAATAATTGATAAATAATAATGAAATAATTCCCAAAAGATAAAATAGTAAAATGTTTTAAGATGTAGAAAAAAAAATTTTACTGTAACCTCATCATGAGTTTTATGTTCTTAAAAGATATAATGGATTCATATGGTAAGAATCTTTGGTAACCTTCCTATCTTCATCATAGAGATAAAATTAAATTTATTAAATAAAAATTAATTTTTTGTTATTCTTCGAAATGACACACACAGAAATAAATAATAAAATATCACAAATGTCAAATTTAAGAAAAAAACTTCAAAAACTAAAATAAAGTCTAAAAGCCCCTATTGTACATAAAAGGTTAGGGAAAACTTTATTTGCTAACTCAGCACTTATGCCCATTTAACATATATTTATGTGATTGCTTCATATATCTTCTTTTTATTTAAGAGGGATTTGAGAAAGATGAGAAGAAAATACATTTTGATAAGTTTTTCAAATCTTTCTTGCACATAAATATTAAGGGTTTGAATGAGACAGGAAGAGGGTAATTGTCAGACTGGTTGGAGAATGGAGAAGCAATATCAATTCCTCTTTTTGTAACTTGAATTTCTGGCAAGCAATTTGTTATTAGAACTTTTGTTCTGTCATCAGCAGACAGAACATAAATCTATGGAGGCATCATAGTGTACTTTGATCATACTAAGCCGGAATGGATTCTGATACTTTTTGTTGATAACCCTAAGATTCAGAACAATATTGCCTGCCATAGACAAATTTACCTGGTGTAGGGCTTATGACTCATTCCAAGAACCAGCTCAGCAGTAAGCTTGAAAGATTTGTTGAATATGCAACAGTGCTGACAACTATGTATAATTTTTTTTACTTGAATTATCTAAGAAGCTAGATGGGATAATAATAAAATAAATGAAATTTTTTGAAAAAACTTTTTTTCGTTGATAGTGGGCATTAGTTTCACTAAAAGACTTTAGGGGTTTGATGGTTCAAACATCTGGCCTAGGGATACAAGGCTAACTATGGCTCTGACTACAAGAGGTACATAAAAGATCTTCAAAATTATTTATAAAAGAAAAAAGCTACATTATCTTTCTCATTTCCTATTGTACTTTTCTTCATGAAAACCAGGTGTATCCCTCCCCCAATAGCACACTATAGCTGAATCATCCAGATGCCCTGGTGTCTTTGTTCTATACCATTTTTATTGCTATTGGAGAGCTCTTCTGCAGCAAATGGCTACTAGAGGAACAGCCTGTTTAATAACTGTCAGTCAGCCCTGATTTTTAGTATGAATTAAATCGGTCATCAAACATTTGTAGGAAGTCTACAATGGCAGTGCTCTAAATACATAAATAAAACTAACTGATCTTATGCAGGAACAATAGGAGGTGATAGCTAAATTAATATAATTACCACAAGATAGGGACATTTGAAGTATTATGGGATACACAGAAGGAGTTTATTTATATCATCTGAAAATAAGAAAGAGAAAAGAAAATATTATGATGTAAATTCAGCTGGCCTCCTTTTTAACTCTTAAGCTGAAAATAGGACATGAGAAAATGAGAATTTGGATATGAAATGGAACACAGGAATTATTTTAGTTATTTGGACATTGCCTGGTGAAGACAGGGCTTGGTAAAGGTGCTAGTTATGTCTACTTTTATATATATATATATATATATATATATATATATATATATATATATATATATATATTTTTTTTTTTTTTTTTTTTTTTTTTTTCTCATGGTTAGATTCAGCTCCGTGAAGGTAAAAGTACATCTTATTCATGTTTAAATCCCTGTCATCTAGCAAGGAATAGACTCAAATGTGTCCAGAATTGACTGTGACCTCTCCTTTTGAATTTTCTTTATCAAACACATGCCTTAAGGCTGAAAGTCTTCTTTCTGGAATTAATCACTGAGTATCAAGCTTAAATTACTTGAAACTGCTTTCTTTATAAGAAAGTATACTTCTGGGCTTATCTATCTATTTGGACTTAGTTACTTCAGCATCTTGTTGAAAAGCTTGAAGATAGAAAAGTTTCACCTACCAAATGGAAAAAAAATGGAAAGGTAAAACAAATTATTATCTTGCGGTTTCGTCAGCTACTTTGATCAGATTCACAGATATCAAGTTTAGTTGTGACAGAATTGGAAAGATCTTGGAGGAGGCGATACAGGGCAGGGAAAAGGCTACAAAATGTGTAACCCTGGATTCCTCATATCTTAGCAGCTGATAGGTACACACTTGACATTAAGAGTAACAACAGAAACTATATTTGTTTGTGTTCCTTCCAAATAATGCTAGTTGTCAAGTTCCTACCTAGATGGCAGGAAACACATATGTTACAACATCCCCTGTACCTAGAACTGGTTAAGGCTCAGCACAAGCGCTTCAGTATCTATGTCCTCATAATTACATTGCGAGGTTATCTTTGTCAACTCTTTCTTCAATCCTCTCATACTGCAAAAATAAGCACGTATGCAAAAAGTGCACATAACAATACTGAAGGCTGATGAGAACTGGAGTGTATACTTTACATCTCCTTCTTCACAAGTATCCCCAGGTGTCAGTACGCAAACCACACAAACCATGTAATCACAGGCTCCTTAGATCATGCACAGCAATCAACGTGAATAAATGCTCAGTGGCACAGTCATATATGCAGGCCTGCAGGATGCCTTTTTAGGTTCAGCTATGACTCTATTGCTGAAAATAGAAGGGATTAGATAACTCAGAAAGGGAACACTAAAAAAACAAACATTAAAATGTTATATTGCACTGGCCCTTCCTCGATATCTCTATTCATAGATACAAAACAGATGGGCATTTTGCCTTGAACATGATCATCACTAAATATATACTATTGAATGAATCTTATGTATAATGACTCATACACAATGACACATTTACAAAGCCACTTATCTACTTCTTGCATTCTTTGTATCTCTATTAATAATGTTTCACAAACTAAGGATATTTTCTATAAAAAGTAGAGTGCACACAAACATAAAATTTCAAGATATTCATGAATTTCCTGGAACTCATTTATAGGTCATAGACACCAAGATAAGATATCTTGATATAATTTAATTTTCTTATTTCACGGAGGAGAAAACTGAGACCTTAAGTTACTTGAAGGGTCAGTTCATTGCCTTTCCAACCATACCATTATATTGACTTTCCTTTTATGGATGAGAAATGACTTAATGAAATAATTCTTACAATGCCTCAGTAATAGAAGAGTCGCTCAAGGCTACTTGGTCCTAAAATAATATTAATTATTTTATTGATGGCTCAGGATAATCTAGATGTCACACATTATTCTCCTTTAAGCAGAGCAGTAACATACAACTGACTAGAATTTCCTGAACATCAGGAACTTAATTGATTGTGTCTATCACTATCTTATGCACTTAAAGAAGATTCTTCTTTTGCCAGTAGCAGGAGGTAGTAAGAGTATATTAAGATTTTCCTAGGTCTTATTTATTAATTTTTGCAGCTCCACCTCATATCATATTAAACATATAGAAATTCACTCATATTCCACATGAAATGATATTTATGTGTAACTACATAAGATTTGGTTTGTGGTTCAATAGTCTGATAAATATAATTTTTTGGTAAACATACAATTATATATTCATACAGTTTAATTTTGTAACATTTTTCCTGCTATGAACCAATGCTTTTTATTTTTACAGATTCAAAAATTTTTCCGCATCGGCGAAAAGCAATTAGGCCTAGGCCTGTGCTCAAATGACTAATAAACGAAGCAGTCTTAATAAGAGGTGGCTATTACCTGGAAGAAATCTCCAAAGACTTTGTGATTTAGTACAGATTGACATGCAAAATCACTGATAATTGGTATTTGGGAATGAATATTTTCTTCAGCTCAAATATCAGATCCAAAATTTGGTATTGATTTCAAAGCTTAGCCTGGAAAGGCCAGGGAGTTAAAGCTGGATATAAGTTAGTGTTCTGAGCTATGAGAGCAAATAATATAAAATGTAAGTGAATCAAATACACAAATAGCCTATTTGTTACACACCCTAATGTTAGTCAACTGAGTGCAGAGTCTATATATATTCATCACAGCTGATAGCATTCATCATTGTTTATATCAGTTAATAAATATATGATGGATAAACATGATTTATTTCATATCATATTGATGTGAATTTAAGGCACTCAGCTCCAATCTCCTCCTGATAGATGTATGATTGACATTCAGGGTAACCAAATGCCTTGGGCTTGTTTTGATTAACATTATTCTTACTTACTCTACACTAAGACTATCAGTGTCATTTGCCACTAAATCTGTGAGCACTGGAAAATTACTTTCACGAATTGAATTTCAAATTTTTATCAGTAATGGAAGGATGTCTCTCTTGCCACATTGTTGTGAGGATTAGAGATAGCACACACAAAGCAACTGGAACCACAATAGAGACAGGAGGGCAGACATGCGATAAAGGATGGCTACTATTTTTAGTCTGTTTTTCAGATGAGGAAATTTGGCCCAATGGAAGTTCTCTCCTCTCCTCAAACTGATTCTTTTTATTCTCCCATCGCTGATAGACACCCTACTTCTCAGCTACTCTTGCATGTGGGTGTGGCCTTATGAAAATCTTGCCAGTGAAAAATGAGCAGAACATGTATGGGCAACTTTCAACTTACTTAATCAAAATGAAATTGCTCGCCCCGGGCATTATCTCTTTTTCCTTCATGCAGGCTGGAAAATGAATCAGGAGAGCCTCTTCTGACTATCTAGATAAGCACAGTATTTAAGAGGAGAAGGAATATTAGGGAAGAAAAATTAGGGTACTGGTTGATGTTATGGAACAAAGCTTCTCCACCTGCCCAAACAAGAGGTGAAAACTTTTTATTCTAAATCTAACCCGCTTCATTTTCTCGTGACATTGAAATTATTTGCTCATCAGGTTTATTAAAAATATGTTTTAAATTAATTTCTTGGAAGTTTATTGACAGATTGAAGTTGACTCTACTTTATTTCTTCTTTTATTTGTATCCGCAAAAAAAAATATAATGAAAACAATGGATAGAATTTTTGAATATTCATTATACCAAAATACTGTGCTATGTGCTACATGTTATGTCAGTAATTTTTATAATAACTCTATATGTTATATAGTATTATTATCCTTATGCTGCATATGAAGAAATTATGTCACAGAGATTAAATAGATTTCCACTGGTCATTTGGCTTTAAAAAGAATGGAACTAAGAACCAGGTTGCCTTGATTTAAAATCTTAGCTCTTCAGTTTTTAAACTGAGCCACTGGGAATTTGCTCAACCATTCTGTCAAATGAGCCATACCTATTTAAAAGACTCTGGTAAAAAATAATTTTATGCATTTGGTTTATACAATCTGAAGACAAGAAAAAGCACCTATTAGGCTTTGAGATATATAAATCTTAATCCTGGTGTGAAAGTGGAATTTATTTGTGTCATACCAGAGACCAGAGTAGAATAAATGGTAAAATGACTGAAAAGGAGTTTAATAATGAAACGCATTAATGAATTGTGTTCATAGAAATGGCATGCCTTACCTCAAAGTTGTGAGTTGCTCTGCACCATAAATATTTAAAGATAATATGAATGTCTTCAAAGATTTTGAAGATGAGTTCATTAACCAATGGAAAATTGACCTGAACTTTCCTTGAATTTTCAAAATCTTAATTTTATAGAAATTAATGTTTAATCATTGTCCCATCTAATATGGAGATATTATCAATCTGTGACTGTATATCACTTCCAGTTTTGTACCACATAAAGAGAACACAACCTTTGCTGTTTCAGTTGTATTTTCTTCCTCTGAACTGAAAGGACATATAACTAAAATATTTAGCATAGCTGTTTCTGGGAGATGAATTTTTAAAATTATTTTATCATATTTTTCTTTGTTCCTGATGTCTGTACTTTTTATCTACATGTGTATTTATTTATATACTGCAGTAAGTCCTCACTAAATGTCACAAATAGGTACTTGAAAATTGTAACTTTAAGAAAAATGACATATAGCAGGTACTCACATAACATTGTTTTACTCAATGTCATTTTGTTATCACGCTGATTAGAAAGAAAAGATTGGTTTTGTTATATGCCATTTCATTTAAAGTTTCAGTATCTGATAACCTATCAATGGTATTAAGTGAGGACTTATTGTATACCTGTATGTGTTATAGTAATACAAAATTCTATAATTTTATATATAGGATTCAGGCAGATAATTCAGAATTTTTTCATTAAAACACTAATAGACCAAATTTCTACCTATCTTTTAATTTTATATTTATTTGGAAAAATACATGTTTGTTATCAGCACTGCCTAGTTTACCACACTGCCCAATAATTCCGAGACATTTTTCCAGTATTTTATTTGCCTTGAATATGGTAGATGTCAGAGGAACTTAAACTAATTACTTCTGAGCTCACTTAAGCACCAAAATACATTTTTTGAGTTAGCTTAAGCCTAAAACACAAGGTCTAGTTTTATTTCTTTGAAAGGATACACATATTGTTGAATGTAGTATATTTATATCCCCATATTATGTATTTTTCAACTGTATATAAATATGGAATAATCTAAGAATAAGTAAATACATACCTATGGCTAGCATTTTGTAATGTACAATAGTTTTTTTGTTCTGTCTCTGAACAGCACACAGTCTCATAAAACACTTTATGGTGTATAGGGACTTTTTAATATTTTCAAGGCCATAGAAAGTCAATGGCACAAAAAGATATCTTTTATTACCTTATTGAAAGTTTAATGTCTGCTAAAATAAATTTTAGATTTCTTTACTTACTTATAAATGGACATTTCTATCTTATTCAAAATATAAAGTGGGAACAATTACATAATTTACAAATTCATTTTCCAAAGTGTCTCTCTGTTTAAAAAAATTATTAACTTTCCATGAGAAATCTTTTTACATTATAACCATAGAGCATTAGAATACCACAATCAATCAGTAAGGTTATCTGAACTCTACCCTGATCTCCACTTATGTCACTGACCACTCAAAACCACAGACGTCTAATCTCCAAAGTCAGAAGGCAAATGAGAAAAAGTAAAGATAAGGATCAAAGAGTCCTGAAGATGCACTCCATTTTTCTCTAGGTCTTTTGAAATGTGAATTTTGTTGAAATTTTAGAAGTTAGGTGGATGAAAATGGCTGCCACAACAGCAGAGGCAGTAGTACATTTCAGTTTATTCCCTGTCCTTGTTAGCAGGAGAATCAAATTACCCCTATTATGGCCCCATCTTTCCCCAACCATGCAGAATGGAACTTCAATTATTTCAGCAAAGTGAATGTTTCGTCTCATTGTTGAAAAAGATAGATACTCTATGTCTATTCTTTCATATGGCCATATTCTTCTTACCTAAAATACTTTTTCACCAGAAGAAACAAATTTATATCATTCATATATATATATATACATATATATGTATGCATATATATTTGGTCAGTTTGAATCTGATTAATTAAAAAGTTAATAGGAAAAAAATCAGTCTTCTTTTAGGGCTCTGAAATAGAAATGCATATGAATTCATAGCTACCTATCTTCACTGCCTCACATATGTAAACTCATGTGAATTTCTTCATTAATTTTGATAAGCTTATGCTGTGGTATTATAATGCCACCATACATAAATGATTTATAGAGTTTAAATTTAAATTATGGTCTCTTAATACAAACAGAATTAATGAGTCTTGAAGGACAAGTTTTCCTTTAAATTTTTTTAATGTACATTTAAATTTTTAATAAAGTCTCTGACTGTTTGTTCATGTTTCCTGCCTAAGTATGTGTCAAAAATCCTTTCGGTAGAATTTAATAAATTTGTGATAAGCCTTATTGAGTGTTTGAGATGTTAGCTCTGTTCCAGTTAAATGAGAGCCACATCTCAAGTAAGAGATGGGTTTTTTGGGGGGATGTGTCATTTTCAAAGACATAGTTAAGAAATTGATTCAAAGTATTTGCCTTTGTTTGTAAGCAATTTATTTTATTGGTGATGTGCAAATTAACTCTCTTACTACAATCTGTTTTTATTTAATATTTTATATTCTCAGTTCGATGGAATAGGTACCACACATGGATTAATCAATTTGAGAAAATAAGATACAAAGCAATCAAAAGACTTCTAAAGTTTAATATCATTGCAAAGCCAAGAGACTCTTTAAGTCTGACCACAGTAAGGTGATCTTTAGTTTCACACTAGACAGTATGAAGTAGCTTGCAAAAGAGCTGAATTTTCGAAAGCTACTTAGTGGCCGTGAGTATTATCCCAGATGATTATCCACAAAACTAGAACAGGGAATTTTGGCTATCTTTTTTCTATAGAATTTAATATATGTTATAAAAACCATTCTACTAAGCAAGCAAAATTCCTGAGGGCCTAAGTACCTCTATTTTTATTTTCCCTCATTTCTTCAAAATTAGTGGGACTGTCTCTGCTTTTGAACCTAGATGTGAACTCAGAAAAGCCCACTCCCTTTTCTGGCTGTTTGTATAATATCTCAAAATCCAACAAAACCCAGTTTCATGTAGAAATCAAAACTTTTAACTTTTCTTTTTAGGCTCCTTTTTAACTTTTCTTTTTAGGCTCCCTTAGCTCAGGCCAAATATAAATGGTAAGCCTGCCTTGCTCATTGCAGTTTAGGATGCCTCTGGGAGTTGGAGGTTAGGGTAGAGGTGGGTAAGAAATTATCGATGCCATCATTCTGTGTGGGAAGTTGGTTTTACCATTGCTCTCTGGATATTTAATGATTGTTTTTCCCTTGCGAACACTTTCATGGTTTCTTTGGGGACGCCCTCATGGTTCTTGATCTCTAACCTTCTAAGTGATTAGTCTCTAAATTAATCCTTAATTAATTTGTATTTCAGGTCATCCCAAACTCTTCTTCCACCGCAAGGATTCCCTTGATACCTGTTTAGCTTCATTTTCCATTTCAGGGTCATTCTTGGAGAAAACATATTATGGGTCTATATCAATTCTGCCTCTCCTGAGGGCACATCTTTTATCCATGAAAACACTATTGCATTATTTTCCCCTGTTTAAGACAGAAAAATTGTAGCTCCCTCCCAGCATTCATTTAATTTTACATAAATATGCACTTTGGCCGGGCACAGTGGTTCACGCCTGTAACCCCAGCACTTTGGGAGGCCAAGGCAGGCAGATTATTTGAGGTCAGGAGTTTGAGACCAGCCTGGCCAATGTGGTAAAACCCCGACTCTACTAAAAATACAAAAGTTAGTTGGGAGTGGTGGCGTGGCCCGTAATCCCAGCTACTTGGGAGGCTGAGGTGGGAGAATCACTTGAACCCAGGGAGTGGAGATTGCAGTGAGTCGAGATGGCACCACTGCACTCCAGCCTTGGTGACACAGCAAGACACACACACACACACACACAGACACCACTTAGAGGTTGAAGTAAATCTGACTGATTTGCAATGTGAAAATAAAATATAAAAACTGTTCTTGGAGTTATTTCTAAACATAACTAACAACAGAATCATCTGAATCATCAGAATCATCTATTTTAGAAAAATCAGATTCATCAAATGAACCTTAAGCCAACAACTGATCATCCGCTGAGAAGGATGTTTACATCACACGTAGGAATGCTACGTTTTCTAAGATTTGACATTTTTAATGATTGAGAATTATTATGTTTTGTAAATAGAAATACCACTACTAAAAACAGAATGTTATAAATAGAAGATCGTTTGTTTCTAAAGTCGATATACCAGAGTCATGTGAAAATAATACAAGCAAGATATTTTGTGGCAAAGTTATCTGGGGTAAACACTGCAGCCACAAGTGCCGCTGGTGAGAATTTTCCAGGCAAATGGGAAAAGGGTTAACAAGTTGCTCAGTGAAGCAGCAACTTCCCCTTTGCTCCAATAGCCAGCCAATCACTCGTCCTTTGATTTCTCCGATATTTATATATCAATCAACTATGTTTCACAGAGCTTTGAGTAATCACCTTGAAAAACCATGTCACGAAATTTCAGTTCAGCAGGAAGGATTAGGATGGCATATAGTTGTTAAATATGAATTTACACTGTAATAACTCTCTCCAAAGACCAAACACATTCCAGTTCAAAAGCCTCTAAAAAACAGGTTCTAAAATCTCATAATACGTTTTTTTTTTTTTAACTTGGCCTTTTCAATTTCTATGTAAAATTGAAAATCTTCATTTGAATATAATATCTACTGTTTTCAAATCTTTACAAGTTGCTTCCCTTTTATCATCATAGATCATTTTACACTAATGATGGGTGGGAGGTGAATGAATATTGTGAATTGAATTCTGTTCCCCTGAAAAATATGTGAAATACTTGTGCATATCACCTTATCTGAAAACAGGATCTTTTCACATATAATCCAGTTAATACAGTCATTCTACAGTGGAGTTAACCCTTAATTCAATATAACTAGATTTCTTGTAAGAAGAGAAGGAACACAGAGAAAGAGATAACACAGAGAGGAGACTGCTATGTGAAGACACAGATACACAGAGGTAAGTCAACCATGTGGGATGAAGGCAGATAGTGGAGTTCTGCCACTGCAAGCCTAGGATTGCTCTTGACAACCTGAAACTCAAATAGAGATCATGACCTTGCCCATTTTTTTTTTTTTGGATTTCTATTTTCCAGAACTGGGAATGATTTAAGCCACCCAGTTTGTAGTAGTAATCCTGCAGCAATGCTAAGAAATGAACACTTTCCTCTTGACTAAACATTCAATGTGTTTTATTTTACTATATTTAGTATAAAAGTAGCATATGAAACATATCGGATTACTTTTTATTTAATTACTTATTGAACCACGAGTTGGCCAATTGTGAGAAGTCAGTCATGACGGAAAAGTGTATCCATCAACCTGGTATCTAGGTTGAGAATTTGGATACCTCCTCGGGTAAAAAGTGAAATATTTTCTTTTTATTTTTTTGTGTGACATAATCGACTGGTGTATGTGGCCACCTTTTTGAAGAATAAATGTATGGGATGATGGACTTATGTAAATATTTATGAGTTAAGAAATGAAATGTGAGGACATATGTTATGTTTGGGCCACTCAATAGTTGTTTCTTTTGGATAAAAACAGCCTAAATTTTTCTTTAGAGGACCTGTTTGTCCTTTTCCACTGTACACATATTTTGTTTTGTACTCACTGTGCTTTTAGCTTTGAGGGCACGAACAGGACCCTAGGTCTGGCCAATTAAGACAAAACAAAACAAAACCCCACATCTCTGTCCTAAAAAATGAATACATGTATAAATGGGCAAAGGACCTGAATAGATGTTTCTCAAAAAAAGACATACAATGGTCAATATGTACATGAAAAAATGCTCAGCATCACTAACGATTAGGGAAATGAAAATCGAACCCACAATTTGCTATAACTTCACACCTGTTAGAAGGGCCACTATCAAAATGATTAATGTTAACAAATATAGGAGAGGATATGAAGAAAACAGAGCTCTTGTACATTGTTAGTGGGAATGTAAATTAGTACATCCATTATGCACAGCAGGGTGACACAGTCAATAATAATGTATTATATATTTCAAAATAACTAAGAGAATAAATTTCAAATGTCTCACCATAAAAATATTCTAGGTAAAGAGGTGATGAATATGTTAATTTGCCTGATTTAATCTCTCTGTACTGTATATAGATATCAAAACATCACATTGTTCTTCATAAAGGTAGACAATTATGATTTGATCATCAGACATACTATTAATAATATATATTTGTAAATGTGTATGCATGGTATGCTTTCAGATAAAATTGGTGATATTAGCTGGAAGTTTTAATCTTTCATGCTAAACTTTTCTGCTTGCCCACTAATGGAGTTAATACAGAAAAATTTATTGCTGAGAAAGAGTAAAGAAAATGTCCCTATAACCTTCAAAGATAATATTTGATAATGACTGAGACCTTATAACCCTGACGTATAGAGCCAAACACATATTTTGCCCTTCCTTCTGTACCTGTAGGAGAACTATTTATCTTCCTGTCTGTGGTAAACTTTCTGCATGTATATGCTTCATGTGAGAAGGAACAATATCTTGATTGTTGCCTGATAAACATGCATGAGTTAACTCTAAAAATCAATTTGCTTTAAAGTCCAATGTATTGAAATTCACAGTTTGCAATCAAACATTTTTCTAAAATTAATAGGGAATCATCTATAAACTTTACATACGTTAGAATTCATTTTTTAAATAATTTTTATAGGATCATTTTGTAATTTAAATGAATACATATCATAATATTCTTGATGTTCATATATACATATTCTTAATAATTTTAAAACATCAAAAATGCCACCTCCATATTTTTAAAGTATAGTTCATTTAATCTCGCTAATAGTTTGAATTTCTACTGTATGATTTAGTAATTTCATTTTTTCATGTAGGGAAATATAATGATATTGTTAGATTATTTCAAAACCCCAATTGTTCTAACAAATCAAAGATATTTTGTATTTATATAATAATTGAACAAACCAATCTTATGTTTACATAAATTTTATCTTTATTTTAGTATGCATGACAGTACACATTTAAACAAGGAACTATTCGAACAATAAACTTTACATCATTTTTAATCTTAAAACAACAGACTCATGTATAAACAAACCAAATATCAGAAAGTAATTCCTTTTCTAGAACTACAGTGATATACACACACACATTCATATATTAGAAGACAAATAGACTTTTTTTTCGTATTTTTACTACTTGGAATTTTGTTTTAGATTTTAGGCAAATGAAGTCTTCTGTTTCAGAAGAAGAATTCAAAGGATATTTTTCACTTAAAACATGGACATAAAGTTAATGAAGTAGGAGTTTTATAATCAAAGAACATATAACTATACATTAAACTTATTTACTTTTTTTTACATAGTGTATTTGGTCTTTAAAAATCTCACTCACCATAGAATGAAGACACGGCAACAGTAGAATCACAATGTTTACAAATCAATATTTCAACAACAGTGGTATAAAATTAGAGTTTTAAATTTTATCCTTATAATTTTTTTCATACTTTTTGAAAACACTAGGCAGCAGCTGCATGCACTTTTTCTATTTTCTTTGAAGGGCACATTTGTGCTTGCTTAATTATACACACATTTCCAAAGACCAATTTACATTTGTCATTAGATATCTCTTAGCAAGAAAGTCAATAATAGTTGCATGGTTAAATTAAAATGGTTGTAATCTAGAATTTTAAAATCAGGCAATAATAAAAATGATGTTACAGTTTTGTGTTTTAAGATATAGATTTTTCTAACACTTAGAAGGTATTTGGAGAATATTGTTATAAAATGAAATAAGCCATAGCAGATCAATATTTAAAGTAAATAGCCTTAAATCATTTGGTGTAATTAGGTTTTAAGGACAGTAAAAATAATTAGATTTAGAATGCTTAGGTACTTGGCTATTTAAAAGTCTGGCCCTAATACAGCTAAGCATTTTACTTAAAAACCCAATAATTAGGAATAATTTTCATCGGTTGCTTCTATGTAGGCTGGTACACTTCCTTCAAATAATCGATTTCAGTATATACAGAAAATAATTTTCTCAAGTCATTGACAAAGTTAGGGCTAGTTGTGGGCATTTGAATCAAGAAAAGTTTAAGAAACTATCCCAAATTGCTTCACTTTTAAAAACAAAAGTATAAACTTAAAATTGCTAACATGTACTCCATGAACATTATAGTGACTATCTTTGTATAATACTGGATATTAGTAGTCAAATGAATAAAATATATTTTGAGTAAATTTAGTTCAAAAGTTTTATTGTGTTTACCACAAGTCATAATGCCTAGTAATAACTAAATATATTCAGTGCTTATAGGTTTTTTTCTTCCCAGCATTTTTCTCAGGGCTTTATGTGTGTTTTCAAATATCACAACATTATTTTTGATATGGGCACACGTTATTATTTCATTTTGAGATGCCTTCAACTTTGGCTAAAATTTAGAAGATAATAAATGGCTGAGCCAAGGAAAATGGAAAAAACTGTGTTCTTATTCATTGTGTTCTTAATAACTATCCTATAATATTGTTCATCTTCATTTAATATGTTTAATTTTATACATTTAATACTACAAATAGTATGTTTAATATAAATAGCACAGAATGTATTCCTGCTCTCAAGAAGCATGTCACCCATTTGAAGAATTTGCAATAAATGTAGACTTGTAAGTGTGGATGGCAAGATCTGCGGTTCATGACTTGAAAGGGGAGCAAACCTGGAGATAGAGGATACCCTCCACACACAAGGTCATGTGCCCCAAATGACACAAACCGAGGCTTGTCTGAAATGAGTCAGGCGGAGTGCATTAGAGCCTCTTCTCCTGCTCACACATATTGCCAAACTCACCTATGGAAGGGGGTCCAGTGGAACTAGCCAAAGGTTTTATCTCAACAATTTTATAGCACTAACCTCCTGCTTTATTATAGCCAAAAACACTGTTCCAAGTATCATGGAGTAATCAGAAAAAGTGATGGTAAAACTGGAATAGAAAGTGGAGTGGAAGAAAAGCCAGAGAGGTGGAAGCTGTTCTAACAATGGCACATTAATGATTAATAAGTATTCATGGTGAAAATATTCAGACTGGCACATGATTCTGGTTGTAACACTACAGAAAAAATATTGAGAAAAAAAGGAATTCTAAAAGGTAGGAATGTTACTTTTCAACTGAATACCCCTTCAGAACCTACACTGATAACTTTTTCTTTAAGCATAACTTTTTTATCAGAAAAGTGCCAAGATTTAATTGTGTAGTCACCTATCTACATAGAAAATAGGTAACTAATTCCATGCTCATTACACATTTTCATGAGCAAGTGCCTAATTTTGCAAGAAACAGCCTCTAGCAGGTGCAAAAGAATATTCTTACAATACAGTAGAGGGAAAATAGTTCATTAGAAGTGTAAAAATATAGATGGTGGCCATTCTGAATATAAGCTAGATATTTAATGCCAAGTTGCCACCATCAAATAATTTTCATCCATCACTAGAAAGTTCAGGAGCTGACATTTTATACTATCATGTGGAAATGCTGCAGAAATCCCAGCATATTTCAGAAGGTAAATTTGAAGGCCTCAGATTCAGCTATCACTTGATAGACAGTTGACCTCAGTTTATGGTTTTCTACCACTAAACTGTAAATCCCTGAGAGAACTTGAATTTAATGAATGGTGGTCACAAATCCATACAGCATACAAGAGTTAATAAGTTTCAAATTAAAATTCTAATTATAGAAATGATTCACAGTCTGATTTTTAAAAAGGCATATGTTACATAGTAAAAAGTATAAGCCCTCTGATTCCTAGCCTGTTCCCACATTCCACTACACAGAGGTATGCACAGTTGGCATCTGGGTGTGTATTTTTTTTTTGTTGGTTTGTTTTTTTTTAGACAGAGTTTCACTCTGTCACCCAGGCTGGAGGGCAGAGGGCTTGATCTCGGCACATTGCAACCTCTGTCTCCTAGGCTCAAGCAATTCTCCCGCCTCAGCCTCCAGAGCAGCTGGGATTACAGACACCCAACACCACGCCCGGCTAATTTTTGTATTTTTAGTAGAGACGGGGTTTCACCATGTTGGCCGGTTAGTCTCAAACTCCTGACCCCGTGATTCACCCACCTCAGCCTTCCAGAGTGCTGGGATTACAAGTGTGAGCCACTGTGCCTGGCCTTGGGTATGTATTTTTATAAACTATTCACACACACACACACACACACACACACACACACACACACACACAAATGGTATTCCATATATCCCGCATATGGTATTCTATAACATTCCACATATAGTATTTTATAACGTTATTTTCACATAGCAATATATGGTAGGTAATTTTCCATGTTAATACATGTACATTAATTTCATTATTTGAAGTAGCTGCAGATTAGTCCATTAATGCCAAGTTGAAAAAATTTTCTTAACCAGTCTTATATTCTAAGATTTTGTTGTTTCTTTTAATTTCTTATTGCAGAAAAGTAATAAAGTTTTTAAATTCTAAAAATATGTATTGTCAATAAGCTTAAATTTTATAATGTATGTGTAATGAGGAGGTCTTAGAAACAACTTTAAAACAAAGTGGCTAACTTTGAAACATTCTAAGAGTGGAGCCCATGATCAACAAAATTTCTCCCAAGTTCAAGTCATATGTACTATTACGACTTTTCAAGGAGCAGAGAAATATATTTCACAGAAATGTGAATGAAGTTAATTACTCATAAAATATCAAAAGAGAACCTATAACTATGTATATTATTGTAATTGTCCCCCATCTCTATACCTTCTTATATAAGTTTAAAAAAGTAGAAAATATCATTGATGAATAATTATAATTTTTCACAATTAGATTAAAAATAAAAAATTAATAAATATACTGTATTTGTTAAATGATATTTAAGAACTTCTAGTTAGAGTCACATGGAAATACCTATAATAACTATCCTATACATTTTTAAATATTGTAGAACAGGAAAAAATAGACAAGATAATCCCATATATTAGAAAAATCCCTGCATAAAGGAAAGTTTTTGTTTATACCTATAGTGAAAAACTATTATAAAAGTGTTCTTTTCTTTCTTATAAAGAGAGAAAATCTGCTTAATATCCAGTTCCTTCAACTAATATAATTCAAACACAGAGTCCAGATGTGGTGGCTCATGCATGTAATCCCAGCACTTTAGAAGCCTTAAGCAGGAGAATCACTTGAGCCTAGGAATTCAAGACTAAACTGGGCAACCTGTCTCTACAAAAAAAAAAAAAAAAAAAAAAAAAAAAAAAATTTAAAATTAACTGGGCATAATGGTGCACACCTGTAGTCCCAGCTACTCAGGAGGCTGGGGTGGGAGGATCACTTGAGTCTAGGAGGTTGAGGCTGCCGTAAACTGTGATCATGCCGCTGAACTCTAGCTTGGGCAACAAAGTGAGATGCTATTTCAAAAACCAAACCAAAACAAAAGAACACAGAGACAGTGGATGTCAAGACCAATGGTATTTGCTTTTTTTCCATGTGTATTTAACATTCCTATATTCAAATGTATGAACAATTTTCTAAATAATTATAGCATGTCGGTTATGTCATATTCTAGAAAAATAATGTTCTTACAAATTAGGTTCTAAGGAATTGATTTTCTGTAGAAATTATACCATAAAAAATTTTTCAGTCCGAGCTTTTTCAGATTTAAATACAAATTTTAATAGTATTTTGTCTCTAAATGTTCATGTTTGAGCATAAACCCTAATTGCCATTTTTAAAAATTCTAGTTATAATTTATTGGCACAGTAGGTATGTATTGGGAGGATACATACACATAGACGGTCTTTCCTTGGTAGTGCCTAGTGCTACAGTCAGAATTATAGCAAAAAGTTAAATTATACACACACACACACACACACACACACACACACACACACACACAAAATCTTGCCCATATCCAGTGCATCATATAGAGATGGGAGAAGTATTCCGAAAAATGAAACAAGTAAATTCAAGCACAATGACAGAACTAATATTTCATCACCAAAACAAGAGACGGCTTGAATTTGATTGAAGCATTTGTAAATTCCTAATACACTCCATTATATTGTGTTTGGTGTAATTTTTAGTAGGTAAGCCTCCTTTCCCCCAGAAAAATTCAAAAGAACATATACAAAGCATGCAAGATTATGTTTTTTATTTCCATATATTCTTCATCAGCCTTAGTGTCCTTGGTTGGTGTAAAAAAATGGAAAACTGAGTGTGTGGACCTGATCTTCTTCAGAGAGTTTCAGACCTTAGGATTAGACTCTAAATCATGATATATCCATCAAGACAGTGGTGACCAGAGAGGAACCCATTCTGTTGGCCAGCTGCCCCTGCCCATCATGTATCATACTCTATTTCATTCAACCTTGCAATATCAAGTTCAGTTTTTAAAATTAGTAAATATTACTTCACGACTTCAAAATATTGATCATTTTTATTTTTTTCATGCCTGTGGTTTTCTCTTCCTTGAAGTCTGTTTTGTCAGATCTTTTTTTTTGCCTTTTTAAAGAAAAATTACACATCAAGAAAATTGTGGCACTTCTCATAATTTTATGAGAACCATAATGTCTAGAATACCCTAACACTTATTATTGGTTCTCGGAATATCAGCGTTTTTTTCCAGAAAAAAAAAAGCAATACTCTCCAAAAACAAAATACTACCTTCAGATTTTTCTAATTGAGTTAGCTCCTTTACTGAAATCAAAAATCTATATGATGGAGCTTCATAGTTGATTTTTATTGTGATATGTGAAGCCTGATTTTTTTTATCACCTAATTGGTAGATAACTCAGAATTTTGATTGTAAAAATCAAACAAGTCAATATCTCATCTAAATTGAGAAGAAAGAATACAATTTGATAAGCAAAATATTCCAAGGAAATGACTGCAGATTCAGACCATGGTAGGGGAATAGATATGGAGACATATCAATCTGTTAAAGGACTTTTATGTGGAAGAATGTGATTTTAATTGCAGTATAACAACTAAGGTCAAGAGAAGTAGGTGAAGTTGAACCACTTCATGAAATGCTATGCTGTGGAAAGAATTTGAGGGCTGGAAAGAGTTTGAAATGATGGTTTAAGCAATCATGGGAAAATTCTAGATAGAAGTGATATAAAGTGCTTCACAGAGATATCGTTTTACTAGGACTTTTTAATGGTGTAGAGAAAGCTGACATATTGCTGCAAGGGAAAAAACATTTGATTTCCTAAGTTTGACATGAGTGTATTAATATGACTAGTCTATTAACTCGAGATATGCTCTTTTCACCAACCCCTTAAATCCTCAATTTTCCGTAAAAGTCAGCAGCTATAAATCCAAACTATTATTTAAGTGGACTAATCTAGGGGATAGACTTGGGTATGTGGTGTTAATAAACGCATTTGGCTGCATATCTAACACTATATTATTAGAATAAATTGTATGAGTATTAAAGTTGGCTTTTGTACTTTCCCTTGGCTCTCTACTGTCTTAAATTTTGGTTGATTCCAAACTCTGGAAAAATGCTTTCTATTCCCCTTCAAATGTCCAGTGATTGGCCGGGTGCAGTGGCTCACGCCTGTAATCCCGGCACTTTGGGAGGCCGAGGTTGGCGGATCACGAGGTCAGGAGATCGAGACCATCCTGGTTAACATGGTGAAATCCTGTCTCTACTAAAAATACAAAAAAATTAGTCGGGCGTGGTGGCAGGCGCCTGTAGTTCCCAGCTACTCGGGAGGCTGAGGCAGGAGAATGGTGTGAAGCCGGCACGCGAGCTTGCGGTGAGCGGAGATCGCGCCACTGCACTCCAGCCTGGGCGACAGAGGGAGACTCTGTCGCAAAAGAAAAAAAAAAAAAAAATTCCAGTGATTTCAATTCCTTATCTTAGGTAGTTGACTCTAGCAAAAGAGTAGAAAAAAATGTAGTTGGAATCACAAATAAATTAGAGATAGTGAGACCATAGGGTAGGTTACTGCACAAGGTAAGTGGTTGAGAGGGTAGAAAGAATTTAAAAGTAAAGAAACACATCAATAAATTGAATCAACAAGCATTTATTCAAGCAGTCATATTGGAAAGGGGAAGAACCAACTGCATTGAATTAAACCATTGAATTATGGTTTTATAATTTATGAACCTAGCCAATAGCCTTAACCAATTTCAGCCTGAATATAGTTTTCTGAATTATCAAGTCATTGAGCCCTAACTAAAAAAAAAAAAAAAGTAAGGTAACTGTTTTTTATCTGTCTTGTTTTGTTTTACTTAGAGGCAAAAACAATTAGAGAAGGTAAAGGGAACCCACCTAGATGATTGTGGCAATATATGTGTGAACAGTATATCATCAAGTAATATCATTCAGGTCCTATCTATATTTGAATAAATATTGAGCTAAATAATTAGAATCATTTGCCTAAGCCCTTCTTTGTGGATAATTCAAAACTTAGTCCTTAGACCCATTAGGCTGATTCAAGACCTCAAGGAGAATACAAAGCAGAATTACATTAATTAATCAATTAATTAGTTCCTTACTTTTTCATATATATTACTCTCCTGAAATTGGTTTTATAATAATTTATTTTTATAAGAGGTTCACTGTTTTTGTCATGTGGGTAGTGCATTATGAAGTTGTTATTAAACTAAGGTAATTTAAACAGAAAGGGAATTAAATTTTATTTGGTATGCAGTTCTGGGGATTTTCTATATGCAATTGCATTTAATCACAAATTGAAGCATTATTATCACTATATTAAAGGTAATGAAACAGGTTCAGAGTTATTAAATGAATTACCAAAGCTCACAAGCTACTCTCAATATGGATACTAAGTATTAACACTAAAAATACTGGTATGATGAGTGATTGGATCAAATCAGGGAATTCTTTTTAATTTTTTTCTTTACTTCTTTCATCTGTTCAGGTTGTATAACACTCTATTCTCTCTAAGCTACCAGCAAATTGTGTCAGAAAAAAAAGTGTAAGGAGCTCTATCAAGTTTCTGCAACTAAAATGAATGAACTATTATAATCTGCCTAGATTTTGAAGGCAAGTTTCAGGGATAGTTCATAATAGTGAAGAACACATCAGAGATAATTTTTCTTATGCCAACAACAGCCTTTCTGTTCTAAAATGATAAAATTTAGAGATGAAAAGGACAATATGAAGTCTGTAATCCATACTTCCCCCATAATATTTTTGTCCTCACTACAGTTTATAACAGTATAAAGAAAATTTATAACAACCCAAAGTAATCCAGTCTGTATTTTTCAGTTGACTTCTTATTGAAACTCTTGCCAAATCTCCACTCCTACCCAGTGTTACACATATCAGCCAACCACATACATCTGTACAATCTATCAGCCAAATCTGACAGACAGTAAGATTCAGGCCAAGATCCTGAAATAAAGCTTTTTCCGTTCTTCAGTGGTCTCTCTTTTAATTTATTATGGTGTTTTTGTTATTTAACATCATTCTAAGTAAAGAAAGAAAAATGCTAGCATGGATTTTTTTTCATTCAGATTTATAGTCTGCAATGTTGGTTTAAAATGCAAATATAAGGGCACTTAACTCATCTGGAAAAACTACAATAGCAGTTTATATTTCATATCTCATTTCTTGAGGATACTTCTAGCGAGCCAGAGACATAAAATGCAACTCATACTAAGTGGGGTTGGAGGGAGGAAAAGAAAGTCGAGGCCAGGCATAGAGCCACCTCGAAGGGGTGCTGCCTTGGGTATGGGAATACTGAGGATTGCCTCCTGGATGCCCAACCCAAGATTGGAGGCATCTAGCAGGCACTTGCTGGGACCTAAGTATATCCAGTTTCCCCCTTCCATGAGTTGCCAGACTAATGCACAACACTGGGCTGGCAGCAGGCTCTGGGAAATTTGAGCCAGACATTCCCAGCTTTCAGTAGTTTGCTGCTCCAAACTATGGTAGAAGGGCTTACTCCATCCAACTTTAAGACATGGCCTCTAGCTGCCTACTGGATGTACCAGGGCACTGGGCAGCCCTTGGCAGAGGGGAGAGGTACCACCCCCAAACTTACCCTGAGACACCCTGGAGTACATGCACCCAACTCTGACCCAGGTCTTCTGGATTCCACTCAGGTCCCCACTGAGGGCAGAGGGCAATGGCAGAATGCCCCCATTGGCAGAACAGACTCCCCTGTTCCCTATCCCCAGTCCCCTGACCCCCAATGCCTGATAAGATCAGTTGCTGTCCCAGATGGAGGGAAGCAGAGGTAGTGGCCAGGCCTGAGGTGTTTGGGAGCCAAAACTGTATGAAAAACTGACACTGAGTTTCCTCTGCCTCCCACCCCGACCATGGTCTATTGTGTCACTGGGATTCACTTGAAAATACAAATTTAATTATATTAAAAATTTTAAGACTGTGACAATAGAGTATTAAACCAAGCACTGGGCCCTTTTGAGCTTGGGGCCCTGTGGGACTGCAGAGGTTGCATGCCTATGAGGACAGCCCTGGCTATAGGACAGTTGATTGTTGATGTACACATGCATATGAACAAGTCAAGTCAAGCTGGTGGCAAGCCTCAGGGACTGAAGGCCAAGAGACCGGACACCAGAAGATATGGCTCTATTTGAAGATCTATCCCTCTCTCGCTAAGTGGCTCATAAATACCTCAGCCAAATCATCAATCATATTTATATTTCTGTCAGTTTACTACAGGTTTTGGTACCAAAGAACTGTTGCCAGGTCTCGGTCCACAATGTTTATAAATGTCATCACATTTTGTAGTTTAAATACTGTGAAGTTAGGAGTCTAGACAAACTATTAAACAGTAAGCATGCTTAAGGTTTCTCTACATGATCCATAATCCAAGAACTTTCAGAAGTTCAGATGAACACAGACCCAAATTAACTATGTTTTTCCACTATGTTTGTATCATTGCCTTATTAGAGCTCATGTTCTAGAGGATATTCAAATGATGATGATAAGCACCATTGGAAATATTTAGGTTGATATATTAGTTGATGTTTTGATGAACATTAAAGCTCATTACAGTAATAGCTTATCAAAAACTAAATAATTGTATCAATTTTAATTAGGTCAACAAATAATTGTTAAGTGCATTTGGCTGGACAAGGTACTATGGGGAACTAGAAAGACCAAAAAAAAAATAATCACCATTCTCTAGAAGTTTACTGTATTTAGTTTCTGCCTGTATTTGATAGAAACTACAAAACATTTACGTGTTTTGTAAAAATCTCTTTCAAAAATGTCAAAAATAGGCATTGGTAGAGAAATCTGATATATTTGAATGCCATTCTTTGATAATATATAAAATCTCTAATGGTATATACTTAAAAGTTTTCCCAGTATTGGTTTTTCAGAAGCGGATACAAGATTTGGGAAAATAACACGGAATAACGTGACTCAGCCGAATATATTTGATTCCATGTGACATGAATTTTAAATCAACAATGAATACAAATTGAAGGCGGAAAAGACACTGTAGAAAGATAATAAGCAACTTGTGCATCATAGTTGGAATGAGAGTTGAAATGTCTTCAGCGTGTTGCCTTAGGGGACTTAGTCATACCTTGTGGATATTACCACTTTCTTCCCTTCTCCACCCACTCCTTTCTCCTGGTATTGACTAAATCTCTGGGTATCTGACAGTCCCCTTCAATTTGAACCTAAAATAACAGTCCCAGTTATATTGAAACTAATCATAGCTCTGCCTATTTAGCTAATAGCTATGTATCAGAACAGTTTATTAAGTAAATAGATTTTTTAAAAGTTAATAAAGGAATATTTAACCACTAAAATAGTACAATGTGTCAGTTAATTAAAATTGCTTTTCATTACTTTTTCAGAGTAATGTCTCCAATTGGCCACGTTTATTTTTTTAATATATATTTTACATCTATAATTTAGAAAATGTATGAAAACCAAGGCAACACTTGTGTATTCTATTGTAATTATGTGTCTTACCTTGTATATAAATTCATAAAATAAAAATGCCTCAAAATTAATGATTTATTCCTAACAAGGTGAATTATCAAATGTCACATGAAGCTAATAAACATAGGTCTTTGAGATCAAAAAGTCACATTTAAATCTGAATTGTATTTTCATACAGAAAGTTAATTATTTTCTGCTGAGATTGATAGTGTATTCCCTTAGCCACTTCAAAATATTTTTAAAAATCAGATACTGTCAAAACTCTGCATTTGAAAAACAAAAAAAGGATGAATACACATTTAAGAGAAGAGAATAAACTACAATGCAATAACCTATTTCTAATCTCCAGATACAGATGGGAGATGGCATTGATCATGTCTGGGCATAAATGAAGCTTTAAGGAAGTTAGTTTAACCTATGTAGTTAGACACCAAAGGTCACTGTCACACTCAAACAACCTCACTACCTGCCTTTTTTGTATCCGAGGGCTGATTTTTATCTAGGGATGACTTCAGTGACTTTCCCACAGGCAAGTTAAACCTTTCAGTGTACTCAGCATTATTTGAGATTTCTCAAAGACTTAGGCTAAATTGTCTTTTTCTGTTTATCACTGTAATGGTTTTTCTGGTACAATATCGCTCACATTATCTTTTAATTTATTAGTCCCATGGGATACATGCTGTCTGTGACTGTGTCTGTCATGAATGCCTCAGACAGAAAAGATTGTGCTCAGAATCAGTGCCACAACAAGCTGTAGTTGTGCAATCACTTCATTAAGGAGTTGAGAGCAAGGACTTATAATCTTGTGATGCCATCTAAATTGGAAAATATAAATGACTACTTTTAGCATCATATCAATAAAAGGAAATATAAAATATTGAAAGGTGCTTACCTAGTAATGACAGATCTTACAGAAATACACAATAAAGTAAAAAAAAAAATTCCAAATGAGGACTAATCCTCTGTGGGAAGTGATTTGATATGGGACAAACCACTGTGAATGTTACACAGTCTTTTCCTCTATGATTCTGTATTGGAAAGCAAGGGGGACATCAATTTGCTTTTTATTTTCATTTTTTTGACACAGGGCCTCATTCTGATGCCCAGGGTGGAGTACGATGGTGTGATCACAGCTGACTGTAGACTCTACTTCCCAGGCTCAAGTGATCCTCCTGCCTCAGCCCCCCAGGATGCTGGGATTATAGGCATGAGCCACTGCATCCAGCTATTTCATTTTTTAATCCACAAAATGTATTGATTTCCATTTTATAAAAATTAGTTTTGCATCATCCTCCTCTATTTGGCAGACTTTCAGAACCAAAGCACTTTGTTTATTCTTCTCTAAATCCGTATCCTGGTTTTAAAACCGTTAATATCTGAATTTTACTACATTTAGATCTAAGCCATAGTTCTTATAAATCATTATAACAAAACATATCTGTCTACACATTACATTTTTTCTACCTTGAAGAGGGCAGTCAATAATAGAATGTAGTAGCAATTTTTCCATTGCCAACTCTCTGATAAATATTTAGGTTTTCAAATACTCATTCTAAAGTGTCTAAGGCTCAAACAATTCGAATATTACTAACTAGACATAACTTTCTGTAAGCGCTAAGGAAAAAGAATGATCTAAAACTCAATTCATTTTTAATACTGCTATAATCCAATTAGTATATAGAACATGTATTTGAATTAAAATCAATAAGCAATAGGTATTTTACATACTAATTGATAATCAGATTAAATATACTTATAATGGTATTCAAATAGATTTTAGAGAGTTGGGTTGATTAAAGAAGGATTCAAGGACAAGGTTATAATCTCAAATTTTTTAAAAACACAGAATTTAATGGGCATTACAAATGAGGTTTACTTCATAACAAATGATCAGTAATAAAAATGCAAATGCTAATTCAAGGATGAACAAGCACACAAAATTCAGCAAAATAAATGATATTAAAAAGCTGAAATTCAAGAAAAGGAATGGGTGAAATGGACAATAGTTATTGCAGAAAACTATGCATAGCTTCAACAGATTATTGCCTTGTAGGAATGTGGGCCCAAGTTGCCAAACTTCCTGTGTTGTCATAGAGCTAAAGTATGGATGGTTGTAGGAAATCCTTTATAATTTAATTCAAACAATTTTTTAAATATGCAAACAATGCTAAATACTTTACTAAGCAAGATTACATGTGTAGACAACCACTTTGTCATTTCACTTGTATATGATCAACAGATGAGGTATTTGGGTATACAATGAAGTAATTGTCACTCGGTCAAGATATATAACTGTCCCATCACCCTAATGAATTCCCTTGTAACATTTCTAATTTAGTATCACCCACCTTTCACAAAGAAACTATTATTCTAACCTGTGTCATTAACAATTAGCTTTGTTACATTAGCAGCGTTTCACTGTGTTTATTGTTGTCTAGTATTCCATTGTGTGACTACAGTAATATATTTATCCATTTTTCTGCTCATAAATATCAAAATTTGTTATGAGTGGAGAGCAGTATTTAGAGAACTAATGTCAAAATGCATACATACACATAAATTGGCAATATTTTTCATAGAAATATAAAACAACAAGGAGAGACTTACACTATAAGGATATATGCAAATATGATAAAACTGCAATGATTAAAACATATGTAATAAGTCTGAATCAACATACAGATCAATAAAACAATACAAATCTTAGAGAAGGATCCCAGAACATAGAAAATATAGTGTAAAATTTAGTCTCCCTTTCAATAAGAAAAGTTGGATTATTCCATAAATGATTCTGAAAGAAGTGAATAGTCATAAATATAGCAATAAAGTAGAATATGTTTTAAATAGAACAAAATTAAAATTGTGTGTATTCTGTGTTTTCTAACAAAATAGAAAGTGACCTAGAGCCTGGAAGACATAAATAGGCATTTCGAAGAAAAGGAATTACAAATGGTATTATATATCATATAAGTAGTTTTCTATGTATATAATATAATACATTATATGACTATAGTATAATATACTATAATATTGTAATATATCTAGTTAAACATGATAATAGGATAAATGCAAATATGTTATCTTTCCCTTATCAGATTTATGAAAAATAAAAAGTCTGATATTTCATTGAACTGGCAAGCATGTGAAAATAGCCATTATTAAAGAAAGGTCAATATAGCAATGTCTATTAAAATGCAAAACATATATAAGTTTTGACCCAGTGCTTTTCTTTCTTAGATCTTATAGTTTCACAATGTGCAAAGATAAATGTAAAATATTTTTCTCTACACAACTGTTTGTAATATTTAAGTTCTGTATGGCTTTCAGTCCATTTGGGCTGCTATAACAAAATAATCATAAATTGGGTAGTTTAAAAAAACACCAATTTATTTCTCACAGTCTGGAGACTGGAAGGCACAGGAGATCAAGTCACTGGCAGATTCAGTGTCTAATGAGAGCCCATTTCTCATAGCACAGCCTTCTAGCTGTGTCCTCACATGATGGAAAGAGCTCCTTAACTCTCTTGGATCTCTTTTATAAGAGCCCATTCACGAAGGCTCCGCCTTCATGACTTTCACCTCCTAAAGGCCCGAAGTCTTAATTCTATTGCATTGAAACTAGGTTTCAACATATGAATTCAGGGAAGATACAAACAGTCGTAGAGAGTCTAAGTATTTGTTAAATGGATACTGGCTAAATAAATTGTAATGCATCCATAAAATAGAGTACCATTCTGTGTCTATACATACTAATCTGGAAGGTTTTCTAAGACACATAATTAAATAAAAATGCAAGGAGAAGCATATTGTCTCTAGTACGTTTCCCAAAGAGGAAAATTATACACATTTAATTTTATATGCAGAAATTCTCTGAAAGAATACCATAAATTTCTAATAATGCTGACTAGCAAAGGGGACCCAGCCATTCGAGGTCAAGGAAAATGATTTCACATATACTTTTGTATCCTTTAAATTTCAAATTATGAATGAGTCACCTTCAAAAATTAAGTAAGCATTTTTTTTCCAAATGGAATGTCATGATAAAGCTCTATTAACTATAAAATGCTGAAAAGGTAAGAATTTATTTCATATTTTATTGCCACTAAGCACTATCTGTGAAATTTGTTAAATGATTAGGCAATAGAATTTTAAATTACATTTATCTTATTATAAAAACTATATACGCTCACTGCATGAAATGGGGAAGGTATAATGCTAATAATTTTAATACACAAAGAACTCTGCAAATTGCTAAAAATAAGAACAATTCAAACATATAAAAGGCAATTTATAAAACAGGAAATGCAAATGGCTAATAAGCATACGAAAAGATGTCCAAACTCACTAGTAGATCAGATAATGAAAATTACAGCAATAATATAATCCTTTTCACCCTATAAAATGACAACAAGTATCAAGATTAATAACATTGAGTACTAATAAGTGTGCAGTGAAACAGGTAGTCTCATGAATTGCTGATAGAAGTTTCAATTGCTAGCAAGTATTAGAAAACTAAAGTTGGGAAGAACATTTTATTTTCTTCTTTTGGGGTAAGTAATACATACACATAATAAACATAATTCAAAATTCAAAATATATAAAGGACGAATAGTGAAAATTATCTTTTACACTATTATCACCTGGCTAGTTTTCAGCTCTTCTCTTAGAAGGCAACTAATGCCATCATTAACTTGTAAGTTTCAATGGAGGTGTACATATGTATATGTGTATGGATGCACATACATACATTTTATATACACATATATAATATATATATTTACTTATATATTTTCTATTCACATATACAATGCATTAACTCTCTTTTTTATGCCTATGATAGAATGTTACATTCATTATTTCACAATTTTTCTTTCACTAACCTATAGCATTCTTTATTTGGTGGTGGTATGGGAGTGGGTGCCTATTCCAATGTACAGAAGTACGTAATTTACTTGCATTGTCATTTGTGACTATTGAAGCTCTTCACAATCTTTTGCTATTTTTCACTGAATAAAAACACAGATATTTAATTTCAAAATAAAAGAAGAAAGCAAAATTTTACATTAAAAAGATATCGCTGAAACAAATTCCAGAGCTGATGAATGCAAGGAATGAAATTTTAAAAATGCATCAGAAAGCATCAACAACATGTAAAACACAGGAATTAATATAATAGTTTTCTCAATTTACATTAATAGATTTTATGGATATATCAAAATATATAAAATACTAACATTGACCAACAATAACAGAAAAATCTATACAAGCAATTACTATAGAAACAGTTAAGAAATATATTTTTAAAATTTCCCATTATCTTTATTCACCATTTCAACTTTCAATTACCTCCTTTGCCAAAATAAAAGTAAGACAACAGAAAGATTTTATACGTGAATGCTCACAAATTTTTCAATGAACAAATAATTCTGAAGCTATTTAATCTATTTTAAGAAACAGAGAGGAAAGGAATGTTCTGAAACTATTGTTATGGAAAGGCAGAACAGGGACTGTAAAAATCTATATTTAATAACATTTATAAATATGATACAAAGAGCAAAATTATAATACCATACATGTAGATATTAACCATGTTAAACAATATTATTTGTCATTATGTGTAAATAGAGTACATATGGGTAAGTATGTTAAAACATGTCTAAGAAATTACATCAGGAAAATGGTGGAAAAGAAGTTTTCTACCATAACTTCCAATAGAAGCATCAATTTTGACAAACATCAATGAAACAGAATGCCTTTATGGGAGCCTGGGGGGTCCAGCAGAGAAGTTCCAGTACACCATTGTAACAAAATTCTCGAGAATAGGTGCACTGAAGAGGTTAAGAAGAAGAGTTTCACTTTACCTGTATCGATGAAAAGAGTCGAACTCTGTAAAATATTTTAAGAGATTTATTCTGAGCCAAATATGAGTGACCATGGCCCATGACACAGCCCTCAGGAGGTTCTGAGAACATGTGCCCAAGGTGGTCGTGTTACAGCTTCATTTTATGCATTTTAGGGAGGTAAGAGATATCAATAAAATACATTTAAGAATTACATTGGTTTGGTTCAGAAAGGTGGGACAACGCAAAGCGGGGCTTCCAGGCTATAGGTAAATTTAAACATTTTTCTGGTTGACTATTGGTTGAGTTTATCTGAAGACCTGGGATTAATAGAAGGGAAATGTTTCGGTTAAGATATAGGATTGCAGAGACCAAGTTTTACTGCACAGAGAAATCTCTCAGATAGAAGACTTCAGAGAGACCAGGTTGTAAAATGTTTCCTATTGAACCTAAAAGGGCGCCTGGCTCTTAATTGATTATCTCTTGGATCTGGAAAGGAAGAAAGAAAAACAAAGAGTAAAGGGGATTCTCTGTAGAATGTGGATTTTTTTCCCACAAGCGATGGCTTTGCAGGGCCATTTCAAGATATGGCAGAGAAAGACGCTTTGGGGTAAAATATTTCGATTTTCTTCCTTTTTATGCCAGAGTCAGATTGCAAAGTAAGTCACAATATACAGGATTAAAATAAACCCCATCTGATGAGAATTTCTGGTTTGCAGGGCATGACTCCCCAGGCTCCTTAGATCGGAATTTGAGCAAGATCAAAAAAATCAGCTTAGTCCTCACCTGCCTCATACCTCCCACTAAGGTAGTACAGCTCTGTACCAAAAGAGACCTGCTTTTGCCCAAAATTTATCCCATGGCAATCAGTACAAGCATAGTGAGGGGCACCAGTATGCCCAGCCATGCTGGATGCTGCCCAAGAGGCCCATTCTTTCCATGCCTCACCCAGAACACTGAGGTGATTAGCAGAGTTGAGTGGTTGGGAGAGTCTGGGAGCAGGGAAGAGAGGTGGGAACTAACAGAAATCAGGGCGCAGAACCAAACACAGAGCCATGGATCCTACTCACTGCTTCAGAGACGTTTTCAGGAAGCCTGCCTATAAGCTGCTTGAGATGCCTCATTCATGGAATGGCCCCTCTCCACCCCCGCCAATGCTCTGTGTGCTTCCTTCATACCTGTGACCAGCTCCCCATGCACACCACCATGGATAGCAAGCGTGAGTGTCTTGCAGATGGCTTGTGTACATGTGGTGACCACTAGGCTGAAGATGTGAGACTGGGAGAAGAAACACAAACTTAACCACATCGGGGCACCACCCTAAGGAAAACAAATGGAAGCTCTCAGGACCCAGCTTGCCTTTACAGGACTGAGAGGAGGCATATGAACTTATAAATTATCCTCCAAGAGGAAACATGAGGTGTGGAGCAGGCATATCCATAGAAGAGATCCTAGAGAGCCTCAGAATCCCTAGCCAGGTTTTTGATGAAAGCAGTCTCTTCTGTGGTCAGTCAGCGAAGACTGGAGGAGATGACTGCTTTTTCAAATGCAAAGACATCCACAATAATTCAAGTAACATAAAAAAATCAAGGAAACATGACACCAGCAAAGGAACACAATAGTTTTCCCGAAATCTATCCCCTCCCTCAAATGAAGTTCTACAAATTGCCTGACAAAAAACATAACTGTTTTGAGGAAGCTCAGTGAGTTACATGAGAAAACAGATAGACAACTAAATGATTCAGAAAAGTAATACAGAGACAGAATCAGAAATTCAACAAGTATAAATCATTTTAAAATAAAACAGAAATTCCAGAGCTGATGAATACAATAAATAAAATTTAAAAATGCAACAGCATAATCAACAGACTTAATCAAGCAGAATAAAGAACCTGTAAACTTGAAGACAGGCCATTTTAAATTATCAGTCAAAGAGGAAAAAGAAGAGAGAACAAAAGAGAATTTAAAAAACCCTAAGATATTTATAAAACATCATCAAGAGAACTAATTTACAGGTAATGGAACTCTCAGGAGGAGAAGAGAGAACTAATTTACAGGTAATGGAACTCTCAGGAGGAGAAGAGAGAGAGAAAGAGGACAAATTCTTATTTAAGAAACAATGACTGCAAAGTTCCCATAACTGGGGAGAGGTATAGACAGGGACAATAAGCTTAAAGATTCCTAAACAGTTTTAACCTAAAGAGAAATTCACTGAGACACACTACAGTCAAACTATTACAATTAAACTCTCAACAATCCAAGACTAAGAAAGAATTTTAAATGCAAAAAGAGAATACTTTACATACAAGAAAACCACCATAAGACTATCAATGTATTCTTAGCACAAAACTTGCAGGCGAGGAGAAAATAAGATAATATTTTTAAAGTGCTGAAAAACAAAACAAAACAAGCTTCAAACCAAGAATACTGAAGCAGTCCTTCAGGAATAAAAGAGATTAATGCTTTTCCACAGAAATAAAAGCTGGTGATGAAGGAGTTCAACACCACTCAACCTGTCTTACAAAAAATGCTAGAGAAGTACTTTAAACTGAAAAAAGAACATGAATTACTAACACTAAAACATATAAATGTATAGAACTCACTGATAAAAGTAACTGCATTCTCAAATTTAGAATGATTAAATACAGTAACAGTGAGCCGAGATTGCGCCACTGCACTACAGCCTGGGAGACAGAGCAAGATTCGGCCTCAAAAAAAAAAAACGTAAAAGGTGAGGGGGAATAAAAGTGCAATTTATTTGTAACAAAAGAGCAACTATTTAGAAAAAAATTTAGAAAAACAGTTCAGAAAATAAAACTAGTTTATGAAACAGTGTTTTTAAAAAAGTGGCTTAAAAACTACTAAAAAACTATTAGAAATAATGAACAAATTCAGTAAACTTACAAGATATGAAATCAGCATAAAATGTCAGCTGTAATTCTGTGCACTAGCAATGAACTATCTGAAAAAATTAAGAAAATCACATTTATAAAATCAAAATAGTATCAAAAATAGTAAAATACTTAAGAATAACTTTAAGGAGGGGAAATATCTATACAGGGAAATCTATAAGACAGTGATAAAATAAATTGATAAATAAAACACATTAATAAATGAAGCATAGATAAATGAAAAATTCTTCTGTGTTCGTGGGTTGAAAGAATTAATATTAACCTCTTCATATTACCCAAAGGAATATACATATGAAATGCAATCCATATAAAAATTCCAAAGGCATTTTTCACAGAAATAGAACAAAAAATATCTTAAACCTTGTATGGAATCACAATAGACTTTGAATAGCTGAAGCAATATTGAGGAAGAACAAAGTCAGAGGCAACATACTTCATAATTACAATGTTTTTGATTATATTACAAAGCTATAGTAATCAAAATAGTATTGTGCTGGCATAAAAGTAGACACATAGACCAAAGGAATGAAATGCACAGCTCAAGAATAAACCCTTGCTTGTACAGTCAATGAATCTTCAACAAGGCACTATGCATACTCAATGGGAAAAGAGTAGTCTCTTTAATAAATAATGTGGAAAAAATGGATATCCACAGTCAAAAGAAAGAATTGGATACCTCTGTTATAACACTCACAAAAATTAAATCAAGCTGAATTAAAGGCTGAAGTAAAACTTGAAACCATAAATCTCCTAGAAAAAAATAGGAGAAAAGCTTCTTTAAATTGTTGATATTGTTTTTGGATATGACAACAAAAGCACAGGCCACAAAAGCAAAAACATAAGTGGGGCTACATCAAACTAAAAAGTTTCTGCATAATAAAGGAAACAATTGACAAAATAGAAGATGAAAATGAAAAGCAGCCTATTAACTTGGAGGAAATATATAAGTCATTAAGATATAAAATATATATGAAACTTACACAACTTAAATGAATAAAAAAACCTGTTTATAACATGAATAAGAACTAAAATAGATTTTCTTTTTACAAAAAAGGCATTAAAAATGGCCAACAGTTATATCAAAAGGTGTTAAATGTTACTATTCATTGGGTAAATGCAAATGAAAACCACAACGAGATATTACCTTACAACTTTTACAACGGCTATTATAAACAAAGTGAAAAGACATCAAGTGTGGGTGAGCATGTGGAGAAAAGGAATCGTTGGTGGGCATGTAAATTGGTAAATTCACCATGGAAAACATTATGTGTGATCCTCAAGAATTCAAAAATAGAAATACTATAAGATCAAGCAATCTCAATTGTAGGTATATAGTAAAAGAAAATAATATCATGATCCCAAAGAGATATCTGCACTCCAATATCCATTGCACTATTATTTGCAATAGTAAAGATATGGAAACAAATTAAGTGCCCATCAAGGGATGAAGGGATAAAGAAAATGTGGAATAAGTTCAATAAGATGTCCAACTAGAAGTTCCTACCACTCATCTTCCCCAATAAAAACAAACAAAACTATGAATAAACAACTACGTTTGGTGAAAGTAACTAAAGTACAGTGCCAGTGTAGAGCAAAGAAGTAGCGGAAATTTTGAGGAGCAAAGAAAGACTGGATGGCTGCATAGGGAAGGGAATAAAACATTTTACCTCTTTCACGGAAACCCCAAGTCAGGATCAGCTTGGAACCAGGAGGGACTTCTCCCTGAGGGGAAAAGCTAAACAGGAACTCAGCAGATTTCATCACCATTGCAGATACCAACAGTCTTTTTAAAGACTCCTGCATTCCTCACATACACTGAGCCCAACTGAGATGCTCCCCAAAGTCCACATGGCTATGCTCCCAACAAAAAATGAGCCAGTGCTGTGCCTCTTCCACCACAGCCCAAGCTGCTATTGTGCTGTGCCATCTTAGAAGCAGAGCCACAGTGAGTGTGTCCTGCCTTGGAAGACAGTAGCCACTTTACTCTTCCATTCCAAAGACTTTATCAACTCTGCACCACACCCGCCCAGTGGCCCACCATCCTTAAGTTGAGCTGCTGCTACACCCTGCCCTGTGAGGCCAAGCTGTCATAAAGTCACTCAATCTTCTCCATTCCATTTCTTTGTTGGTCCCTGCCCTTCACTGCCTGAGCTGAGGTGATGCCCCACCTCCCAGGGAATATATGCATTGGCCAAGAAGAGTAGTCACATCTTCTAGCACTTGACTGAAAGTGGCACCTCCCTTCTTGAATGGGTGCCTTGTCCATCTAGAGAACTCACAGCCCCTAGTGCTTGAGTTGAGGTAGTACCCTGCCCCCCAGCAAACAGGTGCCTTGGACAAGAAGAGCAGTCACACTCTGGTGCCTGAGTGACATGGCGCTCTGCCCCCTAGAGAGTAGAAGCCTTGTGCTAAATGAACAGGTTTCCTCCCAGGGCTGAGCTGATTCCTCAACCCACACTGCAGAGAAATAGAGCCTTGGTTGAACTAGGCCGCTTTGCCAACTGAACTGAAACCTGTAGCACTCTGCTTTCCACCAAAGGAAAAAAATAATCTCCAGTAATGGTTTCAAAGACAAAGGAATTTACAAACTGTCAGAAAAGAAATTCAAAATAATGATATTGAAGGAACTCAGCAAGATACAAGAGACTACACATAGACGATTCAAGGAAATCAGGAAAACAATTCATAATCTGAATGTGAAATTCAACAAAGAAACATACATAATCAAAAAGAACCTAACAAAAACCTTGGACTTGAAGAATTCTTTTTTTTTAAACTATATTTTTGTAGAAATGAGGTCTCACTGTATTGCCCAGGCTTGTCTCAAACTCCTGGGCTCAAGTGGTCTTTCTGCTTCAGCCTCCCAAAGTGGTGAAATTACAGGTGTGAGCCACTGGGCCCAACCTTGAATAATTCAATAGAAATAAATAAAAAGGACAACCAAGAGCTTCAACAGCAGACTAGATTAAGTAGAAAGAACAATCAGTAAATTTTAAGATCAATCTTTTAAAATTACCTAGAGAGAAAAACTTGAAAAATAATGAGAAAGCATAAAGGAAGCCCATTGGACTTATGGGACCCCATTAAGTGAAAACATACATTTTTGCATTATGGAAGTTCCAGAGGACAGAGACAAAAAAAGTACAGAAAGTTTATTTAATGAAATAATTGCTGAAAAATTCCCAAGTCTTGGGAGAGATACGAACATCAAGATCTATAAAGCCTTAAAGTCAGCAAACAAGTTCAACTCAAAGAGGTAATCACTGTGGCATATTACAATCAGAGAATTATAAAAGCATCAAAAGAAGACAACATGTCATATACAAAGGAATTTTTATTAGACTATCAGTAGACTCCTCAGCAAAAAAAAAAAAAAAAAAAAAAAAAACCAAACAAACAAAAAAAAACCTTGCAAGACAGGAGAGAATGGCATATAAATCATAACATCGAAAATACAAATTTTGGGAGGACACTAAAAGTCCAGAGATTTTGTATGTGACCAAAGTTAAATTTTTATCAACTTATAAGGTATTTTACAAAAGCTTCATGGTAGCCACAAAACAAAACAACATAGGGTATACATAAATGATAAAGGGAATAGAATTAAAAGCTTAGCAGTACAGAAAATCAGCAAATCACAAAGGCAGACCACAGAAGAAGGAAACAAAGGTTCTACAAAACAACTAGAAAACAAGTTACAAAATGGCAGCAGTAATTCCTTATATATCAATAACAGCTTTTAATGTAAATGGCTTACATTTGCCAATCAAAGGATATGGAGTGGCTGAATGAATTAAAAAAAAATACTAACTGTACGCTGCCTATAAGAGGCCCACTTTAACTTTTAGAACACACATAGGCTGAATGTAAATGGAAGAAGGCATTCCATGCAAACAACTACCAAAAGACAGCAGGGGTGGCAATATTTATATCAGATAAAATAGATTTTAAGGCAAAAACTATCACAAGAGAAATAAACATTTACTAGTTAATGAGAGGGGTCAAATCATCAAGAAGTTATAGCAATTGTAAATACATATGCATCCAAAATAAGAGCACCTAAATACATAAGGCAAATATTAACGGACAAGAAAGGAGAAATGGATAACAGTAATAATAGGTAATTTGGATACTCCACTTTCAATCATGAACAGATCAACCAGATGCAAAATTAACAAAGAAATACTAGACTTGAACTACACTTAAGACAAAAATCTATCCTACAGACATACAGAACTTTTCATCCAATAGCAGCAGAATATATATTCTTATCTAGTGCACATGAAGCATTCTCCAGGATAGACCACAGTAGGGCATCAAACAATTTTTAACAAACTTAAGAATATTAAAATGATGTCACTATGATTTTCAGGTACAATATTATGAAAGTAGAAATCAAGAGGAGAAATTTTGAAAAATTCATAAATATGTAGAAATTAAATAACATTCTCCTGAAAAATCAATGAGTCAAAGAAAAAATCAAAAGGGAAATAAAAAAATAACTTGAGACAAATGCCAATGGGAACACAGAATACCAAAATCTATGGGATGCAGCCAATGCAGTTACAAAAGGAAAGTGTATAGCAGTAAATGCCCACATTAAAAGAGAAAAATAGATCCCAAATAAATAGCCTACCATTATACCTCAAGAAACTACAATTTATTGTTACTTTGGAATAAGTTTCATATGTAATCAGTGTGTTAAATTTCTAACTATTCAAGAATTGGTATTGATTTTCTGTAGGGCTAATATTTGAATCCATTCCCTTTATCATTTGTGTATATGCTATATATTTTTTTGGCCTTGTAGCTACCATGAAACTTACATAAACACATGTTATAGTTGTACTGGACCATATTAAGCTGATTAATTTAATTTTAATCCCATACTAAAACTTTGGACTTTTACCTCCCCACAAAATTTATATTTTCGATGTCACAATTTACATCCTTTTATGTTGTATATTTATCAACAAAATAATTGTAGCTATAGTTGATTTTACTATTTTGACTTTTAACATGCATACTAGAGGTATAAATAATTTACACTTAATCATTACAATAGTGGGGTATCTGAATTTGACTATATATTTATCTTTACCAGTGAGTTTCAGTTTCATATGTTCTTATGTTAGCAATCAGTGTCCTTTCATTTCTACCTGAAGAACTTCCTTAAGTATAGCAATATTTGCCTATTGCTGGATAATTATGGTGTTGCTTTGAAGATGTCATATTTCCTTGCTTTTTCATGTGTCCTTCTGTTGGTATCTGGACATGTGGTATAAAGTCATTTCTTCATATGTTTAAATTTCCTATCACAGAGGAGGACTTTCCTGAAGATGTATCTTTGGTGTTGGTTAAGTAGGGCACTTTGGCTTTTATTCTGGTTGTGTGCAATAGTGTAATCTTTGAATTATTTCTTTGGTTATAAACAGAATTAGTGGTATCTGTGATTTCTCTGGTGGGTTAGGGTGCAGTTATTAGAGGAGGCTGTGGTGAAGGTATGCAGTGGACTGGCCAGTCTTCAGGGTTTCATGGTGTCAGCAGGGGGCTGAGCATACTTGTCCTTGTGCCCTAGGGCAGTGTACGCTGTCACTGGTGTTGGTGATTACTGGGCTGCTCAAATGTCAGTAGTGGTAAAAGTGAATCTGGTGGGCGGGCAGGTTTTGGGACCCTGGGAAGCTGCTGTGGCCTGAGAGATGGCAGTAGCAGTGGCTGGATGATTCTGTGAGTCTGGAGCCTTGTGTGTTGAGTTGGCGGTGGCTGCCATGGGCTGGGTGGGCCAGTCTTCAGGCTCACAAGTGGTTCTTGCAGGTTGGTGCAGCTGAGATGGTAGTAGTGAGAAGTTTAGGCCCAACCTCAGGCCTGGAGAAAAGTGCCCAGGTAACCCAAATGGTGGATTGGTTTGGACAATCCCAGGACCCCAGCTATGTGCTCTATCTTGAAGCAGGGTAGGGGATGGTTAAAACCAAAACCAGGGTAGGCAGACTTATGTTCAGGCCCCCCAGTGGTGACAGCAGATACCAGCCATGGTGACCAGGGCCAGGCCATCCTCAGGCCCCAGGAAGAATATGTGAGTCAACTACCACTGGAAAGGGTAGGGCCTGCCTCAGTGGCCACAGCCTGGGCTGGAGGGTAGGGAATGCCTGTCCCTCTCATGACCCATCCTTGGTGGCAGGCAGTAGGCCACACCTAGTTTGCACCTCAATCCCACCTGCAGGAGTCCCTGGCCAGCTCACAATTAAAATCAGGAAACAACCTGGGGACCTTGGCAACCCAGTCTAAGTCCCCAGGGTGCTTGCTCACTTCTCAGCCTCAGCTTTGAGAGCTCATTCCCCGCTTGTGCCCTCATCCCAGCAGTAACAGCATGAGTTTCCTTATTGCCTCAGTCCTGGCACCACTGGGCCCCTGCACAGTGTGCGTTCTCTTAAAAGCTAGAATGCAAAATGGTACCTCACTCTAGCCACCTAGGTCTCAGAAAGGATGTGGGACCCAGAGTGAGCTGCCTCCCTGGAGCAGTTCTGTCCAACAGGCTCCTGCCTGCTCCATATGTTGTTTTCAGGACTTAGGAGGGTCCAGGGGTTCTCCCATGGCCAGGATCGCACAAATCCCCCCTGGGGATATGGGCCACTGGAGATCTTTAACTTACCTTTTCCTCATGTTGAGAACTCATTTTTAGCTCTGAGCTGATCCCAGCCAAGTGGGCTGCTTTTCTTCCTTCTCCTTCCTTGCTTTTGGGGTTTCCTGTCACTTTTCTGTTGAATTCCAGTGTCTTCTCTTCGATAATGTACTTGAAGTGTGATTGTCCATCCAGATTTTGGTTAAGTGGAGGATGCAAGGTGAAATGCTTCTAGTCAAACATCTTGAAGCCCCTCTCTAGTGTCTAATTGAATATTAAATAAATTATGTCCATTTTCACCCATAAAACAGTGATTTCTATAGCAATTTTCCCCACACTGTAATCATGTAGCAAATAAAGTAAAACATATAGAACAAAAGGTTTCAGACATTAGATGAGAGGCAGTAAATTTCTGTGATTCTGGGGATAAGGATAACATTTAAAATCAGCCTTGCAATTGTTCCAGCTTACTGCCTAGAATGAGTTTCCAGGTAACAGCACAGGAGACAGGATTTCAGAAAGACCCTGATACACTTTCCTATACCAAAACATTTATTATACGTTTTTTAAAAATCATCTAACTTATTAACTCAAGTATAAGCTGAAATAGGGCAGAAAAATGCCAGTATTTATCCACCCTCAGAATCAGGTTTTCCATGCAATACTGGTACTTGGTAGGTAACGGAGAAATATTTGATAGAAGAATAAAGTAAAATAGCCACAGGTTCTAGATAATCTTTATATTGGTACAGGTGGCTCATGATTAATTGGCTTGATTGTTCTGAAGAACCCCAACACTGTTGTTTTAAGAATGAAAATCTCGAAAGAGTCTCTTGCCAACTACAACGTGGAAGGCGTGCATCCTAAACTTGAGAAAAAGAGACAGGGAGAAAAGAAAAAAAGCAACATTTATGGAGCACCTAGTATGTGCCAGTAACTTTATACACATTGTTGTATTTTCCCCTCACCAGAATTTTTCACGGCCAATGCTAATATGAGCAACCCCAGTTTACAGTGAAGAAGCTGAGGCACAGAGAAGTGGCAAAGGCAATCTTTCCTATTACCATTTAGGTAGTAAGTTTAATAGATGGACTTTGAACCTATATTTGATCTCTTTTTATCGTTTTAGTTTATAATCCAATTAAAATTGTCAAGTTTGAAACTTGAAAGGGTCATTTGTTAAAGTTAGTTATTTTAGCAAGAATTTATAAAGAACCCATTATCATAGCTCAGAAAGAGGTTTTCTACTTTAAAGCAAACACCTCATTCAGCAAAAATAGTTTTTTTTTTTTTGTCAAGGAAACAAGCATTGCCACTTTAAGAGCTTTTATATGTTGTTTAATGGAATAAAGTGTCTCATTTCTATACAATCCATTAGTATTTGTGATTAAATTAGCATATAAAGAATAATGAGGTGACTGAGACCAGAGTACACCTGCCTTAATTGATTGCCTGAGTTCCTGGGTTAATAAAATCCAATTATTTTCTTATGTAATTGGCACAAAGTTTATTTGTATCTCCTTTTTAGTAAGTTTGTTAATGATATAAGAAAGTAAACAAACCAAACTAATTGTGTGAATGCCAAGTTCAATTAAATCTTCAGGCCTGACCAAATATCCCTATGTACAGATTAGTTCAAAATCCTTACTTATCTGTAAAACACACACCAAGTTAATCACCCCTGCCATCCTGACTTGTGTGTTGAAGTGGGAGCAAGAAAGTGTTATAGCTTTTTAAATATAAGTGAAATATCATAGCACTCTGTAATTGGAGAAAGGCCAATCAGAGGGAAATCCCAAGTGTTTCAGAGACTGAACTTTAAGTAAGAGACTAGAATGGGCTAGTTTTCTTGAGACTGCTTTTAAGATGTCTCTCAAGTGACTTGAATGGTGCCTTCTGGAATCCTATGCCTATTAATAATCCTTGCTCATCCCTGTGCCTTGATTCACCTTGCTGTCAGATTTGCGTATTCTCAGTCCAGCTCTGCCAAAATACTGTTGTATACAAACTCTAGGATCAAGTTTGACAACTCCCAGACCACTTACAGTTATAGACTCTTGGCCATGGAACATAAACCTGTGACCGTTTTCTTTCTTTCTTTTTCGTTTCCTTCCTTCCTTCCATGCTTCCTTCCTTCCTGCCTGCCTTTTTTTTTTTTTTTTTTTTTTTTTAACAGTGTCTCTCTCTGTCACCCAGACTGGAACGCCATGGTGTGAACTTGGCTCCCTGCAGCCTCTACCTCCCAGGCTCAGGTGATTCTCCCAGGTAGTTGGGACTACTGGTGTGCACCACCATGCCCTGCTAATTTTTGAATTTTTTGTAGAGGCGAGATTTTGCCATGTCGCCCAAGCTGGTCTCGAACTCCTGAGTTTAAGCGATCCACACACCTCAGGCTCCCAAACAGCTAAGTTGGGAATCATTTGAGTTTGCGCAGGCCTTGGGCATCTGCATGCTTATTGAGATCCTTTCATCAGATCATCATTATCTTTTATTAGCTCATTCAGCTTGGTTTCTATAGCTTTATCCTTCTTACTTTATATTTCCAATGTTGCAACAGAAATCCTTTCTTAACCCCAAGCCACTTAGTTAAGGCTTAAACAAAATTATGGATCCCTTACAAGACACCTAAGAACTGTAAGGTAGTATGCTAGATATTATAGGTACTTTGAGCCTAGCACAGTCTTAAATAGAGTGGGTGAACAGTACATATTTGTTTATTTAAATGTAATGGATTAATATGTTGTACTGGCAAAATTGTATTTGAGAACCATGCCCTGCATACTCATTGTTTTAAACATCCTTAAATGTCATGGTGATAACTCAACTATTTGCATTGTTACATCACACCTCCTCAGGAATATTTAGGCTGGTATATAGGACTGCTTACTTGGCATCTCCACTTTAATAAATGTCCACAGCCAAGCTCCTGGTCATCATCTAATACCCAATACTTTCCACGCTTTTTCCATTTCTAGTAATGCTCACTTACACATCATAGTTGCTCAGACCAAAAATTTGAAGGCAGGCTTTTTATTTCTCTGAGCTACGATCAATCCATTAGCCACTCCTATCAATTCTTCCTTAAAAGAAATTCAAACTTGGACAATTTCTCACCACCATCACATTATGGCCCTGGTCCAAGGCTCCAAGCCATCATCCTACCTCATCTAAATTACTGCAATAATTTTGATACCCTGCCACTCCTTTGCCTGCCCATGCTCTATGCTCAATAGAACCGGCAGAATGAGCCGTTAAAACTTATATCTGATCATGTCGCAATAACCTTTATTGCCTTTGCTCTCACTCAGAGTAAACATCAAAGCCTTTACGGTGGTTTATAAAGCCACTCTATATAGATATGTTATTTTACCTTTCACTTTTACTTTTCTGGTCACATCTCCTACTAACTCCCCCTCTTTGCATAAGTGGACTGGCATCAGTTTGGGGGTACTTTTCATTTAATTCTCTCTCAATTTAGATTATTTCCTGAAATCTCAGTTATCTATATTAGTAGTGCCCTCACCTCCTTTGGGTCTTTAGTGAAATATTCCCTCCTCAGTGTGTCTTTTGCTCACAATTCTATTTAAAATATTACCTCTCAATTCTCCCTATTCCTCATTCCTGCTTTATAGTGTTTTCTGCAGTATTGGTCATTATCTAATAAGTAAGTGTTTTACTTGTGTATTTTATTTTCTCTTTCCCTCCCATAAAAGTTTAGCTATGTGAGGCCAAAGAATTTTGCATTTTATTCCTAGTTGTATCCTCTGCACATGTATAGCTTTTTCAACATATTAATTTCTCAATAATTGTTTGTTAAGTGAATGACAGGATATGATTGTGACAGGTAAGATTGCTATTGTAATTCTCCACCCTCTTCCAGTAACATGATTGGACACGCATACCTTTCTCTATGTATTTTTGTAGTGATCTTCCACTGTGGGGTGGTGTGAGGGGGTTTCCCATTCCTTAACTAGGGCTAGATCATGTACCTTGCTATGGCTAATGTGCTCGTAGCAGACATAGTACAAATATAGCTTTAAAATGCACTTGAAAGTTCAGGTTGCACCTCTGCCATCAGAAAAGAACATTCCTGAAGCTAGTCAGCCAAACCAAGCTAAGATCAGCAGAGCTACTCCACTGCACCTAGCTTAGATCAAACTATCCCTAGGAAACTTCCAGATTCATGAGTTAAATAAATGTAAATTATTCAAAACAATAAGTCACTGAGTATAGGAATATTTGCTACTCAGAAATAGCCACTTATACAATGGGCCAAAAGATCAATATTCTCAGGTTACAAAAATGGTACGATGTCTTTCTAATGAGTTACCATGTGCCACATAAATGCAACTACGAAAACTAAGTAACTAGGATTTTCCACTTTTACTTGGTTACTGGAAAACTCAAATTTTGTTATGTACTCAGTTTTGGTTATTTGTTTCAGCCTATATCTTAGAATATAATAATTATCTTCTCCCATAAATATTTCATTTATTACATGATTCTTAATTTTAATCTTTTTTATAGGTTTATTTTTCATTTTACATTAATCTATTTCAATTTTTTAATAAATAGAAGTTGTGTGAGTTAACAACTATATCAATTACAATAGCACACATTGTAGAATTTCTACATGAATGCTGCAAAATTATTATTTAGAGTGTAAAATTTAAAAAATAAATAAAAATTAATTGATGTTAATGCTATAAAACTAAGTATTTACAAAGTAAAATTTAAAAATTAATTAAAATATGTTGGTTGACTAATGTAAAATAAATAAAGTTGATGACAAATCAATTTTGTGGACTCCACATTCTAGTCTATATAATATAAGAAGGGAAAATTCTATATCATCTATTTTCTATGTCTTAATAGCTAAGATTTGAGCTCAGCAGTAAAAGGCTTAGTGCCTCAGTAATGAAACTAAATATTTTACTTATCATTAAATCAGTAATTTTTTGGCTGGTTTCTATATTGTAGTAGTAAAATTAGTTCCTATGATAATTAATATAATAAAACAGTGTCACCACCTTAAACAATAAATTATCAAATGAATAACAAATTATAATAGGAAGATTCTAAGTCACTTTAAGCCCAATTTTTAAATCTGAATAAATTGAAAAATTTCCCAAACTACTAGTTGAAAAAAACAAGCAGCCAAATATATCTAAAATGCTATATTACCTTTAAATTCCACAATTAAATCACAAAAAGAACCTCTTCATATACAATAACACACATCCACACATATGAACACATGCACACACGTACGCACTATATAAGTTCACTTTTCTAATAGTTTTTGTAATTTTTCCTTTTTCTTTCTCAGCAATTTTCTAACTATCTTGAATAAATCTTAAAAGCATACACAGAGTAATTCTTATCTACAAATAGATCCATTATTGCATTCATTATATCTGCAGGGTGGACTTGTACAAGTATAATGTAAATTCAATTTAGGAATTTAAAAAAAAAGAAGCTAATTAAACCAAAAGATTGAGTCAAAAAAAATGGTGAACTGAGTAGCAAATCATTATGTTAACATTTTAAATTTAGTAATGGAATTTATTTACTCATTAAGTGCTTTTTAAAATTAATTCCTACTTTTGAACTCACTCCTCTTAAATTCAATTAAAGTATTTTAAAAGGAAAGTGTAAAATCCACTTTGTTTCTAAAGTTTGACTCTAGTTAGAATAGATCCTTTCAGACCCGGTGCAGTGGCTCACGCCTGTAATCCCAGTACTTTGGGAGGCCGAGGTGGGCGGATCACGAGGTCAGGAGATCCAGACCATCCTGGCTAACACCGTGAAACCTCATCTCTACTAAAAATACAAAAAATTAGCCGGGCGTGGTGGCGGGCGCCTGTAGTCCCAGCTACTTGGAAGGCTGAGGCAGGAGAATGGCGTGAACCCGGGAGGCGGAGCTTGAAGTGAGCGGAGATCTGCCACAGCACTCCAGCCTGGGCGACAGAGGGAGACTCCCTCTCAAAAAAAAGAACAGATCCTTTCAAGGTATACTGACTCATTTTCTGCAAAAATATTAATGTACCTGAAATTTTATGTCACTCAGATCCCCTGTATAAGTACTAAGGTCACATTTGTAAACTTTGATGGAAGTGGAAATGAGACTGAATAAGATCAAAGCTGAAAAATTGAACTGGAAATATAATTGGCCACCATAATATGGTGGCAAGTGAACTTTGTCTTGGTTCAAACTGGTAGAAGAGAAATGACTACAGAGGATTCAAAATAGCAGTAATACTTCCAACTTTGAAAGGTGCTGTTGTAATTCCAAGTAATTTTCTTTGGGTAGGATCTTAAACAATGGTTTTAATTAAAGGGGCTATGATCTAAAATGCATTTCATAGAATTTTACTGTTTTACCCTAGTTTCCAGGGTATTGGGAGAAATACAGATCTCAGCAGAAAATCAAGCATTAAAAGGGAGAAACTGATGACACACAGAAGTCTTGTCAAATAGGAACAACATGTTGGGGGAAGGACAGGGTGTGATAGAGTTGACATGAAGTTGCTCATGCCCTTCACCAGTGCTTCTTTTAAAATTGTTTTGTCAATGAATGTTTAGTGCTTATCATTACTGTGTTCAATTTCAACATACAATTGTGAACAACATGCCATTCTTGCCCACCCAAATGTGATATCTTTTGAGGGAAGAGAGTCAAACAATTAGACAATTATAATAGAGTGCTATCTGTAGTGGTTCTTGATAACTGCAGTATAGTTAATATCAGATCCTTTCCACTGCAAGGTGAAAACTTCTAGAGGAATCTTTATATACATGGCCAGAATTTGATTAGGAACTATTACTAGTTAAAACAAAGCCAATCTAGTAGTGGTCTTATTTACCATGCAGGTAAGTTGCTATCTGCTCTAACCTTGGGTTATCTCATTAACTGAGTAACAGCATTACCTACATCATTGAGCTGCAGGGAATATTGAGTAAAGCACTACATTGCAGCAGATCAACAAATTGCCTGACACATTTTATTTATTTTTATTTTATTGAAACGGAGTCTCGCTCTGTCGCCCAGGCTGGCATGCAGTAGGGCGTGATCTCAGCTCACTGCAACCTCTGCCTCCCTGGTTCAAGGGATTCTCCTGCGTCAGCCTCCCGAGTAGCTGGGTTTACATGCACCCGCCAGCATGCCCGGCTCATTTTTGTATTTTTTAGTGGAAATGGGGTTTCACCATGTTGGCTAGGCTGGTCTTGAACTTCTGACATCAGGTGATCCTCCCCCCTCGGCCTCCCAAATTATGCAATATTTATTAAAATTACTATTTTTACATTATGGTTGTAGTTAGCTATAATTGAAAAAGGCTAAGGAAGGAAAGATTAGTGTACAATAGAAAATATTGTAGATAAATTATACACAAAATCTGGAAGATAAAGAATTAAAAACTCAAGAAGAATTTCCCATAATTCACATGATTGTCTTCCATGCTGACAGGCAAAACTAATATTCTTTATAACCTGATCATAAAAACATTAATAAGCATTTACCATGGATTTGCATCCTTTCTATCTTTATTTAACTCTAGATTGCATGATCTATGCAAGTTACCCTAACCTCTTTTCCCTCATGAATAAATTCATTCCCTATTTAACTTTGCTTCACATCATACAGCATAATACATTTTGGAAATATGAGGTTCCAGAAATGTCACACAAATATAGAGCTCTGATGCTTTCTGATAACTCAAAACCCATGGTAAAAAAAATAATAATAATCTTAAATAGAGATGGACTGATAGCACGCTAGAAGCTATTGCTGCTGCTAAGTTTAATCAAATATGATTGACATGCTTAGATTTATCACGGAAGGCATCACACTTTTTTTTTTTTAACAATCCAGAATGACATACAGCAAAATTTGCTACCAGTGAGTGGAATGAGAAACGCAATGCTCTGTGTTCTGTGGCAAAACATTAACAACCCAGTTTTGGAATAGAAAATGTTTTTTGTCCTTCATGAGTGTGGCTTCCAGGACCTGTCTCTATTATCTAATCACCTTCACACATTGTGCTTTGCACCCTGCTCTCTTTCTGACACTCAGGCTGTGCTAATATTTCTTGGGAGGGCATTTGTTCTTGTCCTAAAAGCTTTCAGCTCAACAAGCCATTTTCAGAAAGATTAAAGATCATTACAATTCCCAAAGATAGGAAAAGATTTTGATAGGAGTTTGTACTGAATAGAAAGGTGTCCCATTTTTAGTATTCACGTTTACCTAACTGTGTTTTCTCTAAGTCCTCATTGCCTAGAGGAAATAGGAATTCGAAGGGAATCAAGTGAAACCTCCTTTCTAACTGCACACACTTACTTGCCCTTTGCATTCGCCCTAACACAAACAGATCATCACCCCTTCCTTCTTCTGAGAAATCTGAAAAAATATTTGTATTAATTTTTAGTTTATCATTTGGAGACTTTGAGTTGGTAGACTTCTTTTCATAATGAAAAATAGTGTAGTATTTGCTGCTATTAAACACCAAAATTGTTCTTTAATGTAGAAAACATTTCCAGAAATATGAATGGCTTCTGTTCAGGTATGTTAATAATTGGGAAGTAGTTGATTAACAGAATAAATGTAGTCCTTCAGACCTCAGATCCTCAGAGCATATTGAGTTTCAGATAAGTTATATTATACTTGATTCATTACCTGCATAAACTTGGGCAGGTGACTTAATATTTCTAATCCTTGTTTTCTTCCTTCAGAAAAATATTCATAATGGGCAAAAGATCTGAGAAGGCAAGTCCTCAAATAAGATATACAAATGATTAATAAGCACATAAAATATGCTCAATATTATTAGCAATCATGGAAATGCAAATGAAGACCACAATGAGATACCACTTAACACTCACTGGGATAGCTTTGATCAAAACCAGATAAAAACACGTTTTAGTGAGGATATAAAAAATTGGAGTCCATATATACTCTTGGTGGAAATGATAAATGATGCAGCTGCTTTGGAAAATGGTGTGGACTTTTTTTTTTTTTTTTTTTTGAGACTGTGTCTCACACGGCTGCGCGGGCTGGAGCGCAATGGCGCCCGCCATCTCAGCTCACTGCAACCTCCGCCTCCCTGGTTCACGCGATTCTCCTGCCTCAGCCTCCTGAGTAGCTGGGATTACAGGCGCATACAACCACACCCGGCTAATTTTTTGTATTTTTAGTAGAGACGGGGTTTCACTATGTTGGCCAGACTGGTCTCGAACTCCTAACCTCATGATCCGCCTGCCTCAGCCTCCCAAAGTGCTGGGATTACAGACATGAGCCACCGTGCCTGGCCATGGACATTTCTTTAGAGGTTAAACATACAGTTAATGTATGACCCAGTAATTATCTAGTAAAGAGGCAATGGAGATTCTTCTGTAGTCTTAAATTGAAATAGTCATTTTCTACAGATGTAATGTTACTTCTTTTATAGCATGTTAATTTGGTAAGGCATGAGAGGTTAAAAAGCCTAATTAGAGATTTCCTGGGGTTTCATTCGTTTGCATCAAATAATGCCTCCTATGCTTATAATGCTTCAACTTTATGATCAAATGTTAATGTTAAATATTTTTAATTTTAAAAATAACAATACCTGAAAGTATCAATACTGTTTGGGGTCAATTCGTGTGAAAATTATTTTCATTTTCTGATTTTTGTCACTAAGAGTGTCTTATATTTGGGACAGGCATCAGGCATTGGAAAGAGAGAAACAAAGTTTAATTCATCATAGAGTTCATAAGTTAAAATAAACTAGTTGCTCAGGAAAAGCACATTTATTCCTGAGAGTGTGGTAAGAGATAAATGTCATCTGTGGTCTGTTACTGAGAGTAGAGGAGAATGCATAAAAAAATTGAGCATCCTAATAAGTAGAATCTGCAGTGAAGGCTGGTTTTCCTGTTATTTCTCAAAATACTTTTGTAGAAAAAAAAACAGGTTCTTGTTACAAGACCAGGAAAGGTTAGGCACGCAGTCACTTTGAAGGGTGAGGGGGTTACAGAATTTATTGGGCTAAAAGGAAAACGACTCCTAGCCAAGCAAGAGGGGTTCCTGTTAACATACCCCCATCTCACAGATTGAATCTCAGGTCCCCACCCAGGAACAGGAGAGGCCAGGCTCCTACCCTCTGCAAATGGTGGGAGCTTCCTCAGGCCCCACTCCATCCTCCCAGTGCTCAGGCTGGCTGGAGATTCTCCGGGGAACCCTTTTTACTTAGCTGTATTAATACATTTTAAAATCATGTAAAAAGCATAAATCGTTCAATGTAATTATTTAATTGGTAATAGAATATGGTGCCAACAGTTGGCACCATAGAATAGAATATAGTCCTGAGAGTTGGTGCATTGATGCTTTGGCCTGATTCAGGAATAGACTGTCAACCTATGCCATCTGATATAGTAGCCCCCAGCCACATGTGTGGCTATTTAAATTCAGATTTAAAATAATTAAAGCTAAGTAAAATTAAAAATCATGTTTCTCCGTCTCAGTAGGCAGACTTAAAGTGCTAATGACAATTGTGTTGATCAAAGACATAGAACCTTTCCATTATTGCAGAAAGTTTTGGACAGCATACCTTTATTACCTAGAATAGTCATTTTTAATTTTTTTGGATTGGGTATTCTTTTGAAAATTCAAAAAACTTGATCTAAAATGGTAAATTAGGAGCCTTCCCTCTTTGGGCAACTATATGTAATATGATTTACTGAATAAACTTGACTCTTTGGGCAACTATATGTAATATGATTTACTGAATAAACTCGACGCTGTGGAAATTATTGTTCGAATGTGCTTTTTCTTGAAGATTATTGTAAGATCAACTAGTAGTGTTTCCATCTAAAGATAGAGCCATAACTGTAATAAAACCTCAATTTCAGATTATGACTGACATCATACCCTAAGATTTGAAATACTAGTGAAGAACTGTACAAAGGCTAAACTTTATTGAAGGGCTGAGGACGATCATAAATATATCAATAATAACACAAATGTGAATTATATTTCTAAGTGCTGTATTAAATGATTTACATATAACACCTCATTTAATCCTCAAAAAATCCTATTATACTAAACTCAGAGATGGAAAACAAATAGACGGAATTAGGTAAAGCAACTTGCCTAAGGTAATTCACAACTAGTAAGAGATGAATCAAGGATTGTACTCCCTTCTATTTTCTACTTCAGATAAGGCTTGTTATACACAGAAAAAAATGGATGAATAAAGTTTCACGTAAGTGATGATTATCAACATTTTATCATGGGAAAGTGTTTAAGCAGATATAACTGTAAGTTAACTTGTCCATTAAAAATTAAAATTACCTTTGAATACTTAACTTGTAATGCTTATACCGTCGTAGAATACAGTAGAAAAAAAAGTGGTTGCAAAATGCAAACCTATAATACATTACTAAATAAAATATCGAGGTTACTACATGACACACATACATTTTTACCTTTAACACTTCTGGGAATTTTAAAAAGATACGTCAAGTCTTTGTGTGTTTTAAATCCTCTTATATTAAATTGGGTGTTAGTAAATCAATTTCTATGATCTATAGATTTATTTGGGGCAGAAAATGTTCAATCAAATGACATAAATAAAGACATTATCAAGAGTCTAAAGTATTATGTTTAGATTGCTATGATATAAACTTCTTGCTATTTTATTTTTCTTCTTTTTTAGTTCACTTTGTTAAGCTGCACAAAATGCTATGGTGTAAGAAGTTGAAATAATGCATCCTAAGAGTTGACTGATGACTGTTCTTTTTTTATTTGTTTGTTTTTGTTTTCAAGACAGAGTCTCGCTCTGTCACCCAAGCTGGAGTGCAGTGGCATGATCTCGGCTTACTGCATCCTCTACCTCCTGGGTTCAGGACATTCTTGTGCTTCGACTTCCAGAGTAGCTGGGAATACAGGCATGTGCCACCATATCCTGCTGATTTTTTGTTGTTGTTGTTTGTATTTTTAGTAGAGACAGGGTTTCGGCATGCTGACCAGGCTGGTCTGGAACTCCTGTTCTCAAGTGATCCGTCCCCCTTACCCTCCCAAAGTGCTGGAATTACAGGTGTGAGCCACCATGTCTGGCCCACTGTTCTTTTTACAGTTAAAATTACCTGCAGTTGAAAAACAAATATATCACACACCACCACTAAACAAATCCTTGTTAGCATGCAACTCATATATAAACACAAACACAAAAATTATATATATATATAATGAATCCATTCATACATATAAGTCCATGTAAAATGTTCAGACGACAGCAAATCTAGGCAACTTGTCAATAT